>NC_000010.11:161515-313030 GCF_000001405.40 Homo sapiens
TCTCTAGCTATGAAAGTCCTAGATGGCATTTCTTCCAATATGAGACTATTTTGTCTTCATTGAAAATCTGTTGTTTAGTGTAGCCACCTTAATCAGTTATCTTAGCTAAATCTTCTGGATAACTTGCTGTTTCCTCCTGTACTTTTATGGAGACAGCTTTTTTCCTCATGAATAACCTCATGAATCTACCTCTGCAATCTTCAGACTTTTCTTCTGCAGCTTCCTCACGTCTCTCAGCCTTCATAGAACCGAAGAGAGTTAGGTCCTTGTTCTGGATTAGGTTTTGGCTTAAGGGAATATTGTGGCTGGTCTGGTGTTCTATTCAGACCACTAAAATATTTTCCAAAGCAGCAATAAGGCTGTTTTGCTTTCTTATTCATGTGTTCACTGAAAGAACGCTTTTAATTTCCTTCAAGAACTTTACCTTTACATTCGCAGCTGGGATAGCTGTTTGGCTTAAGAGGCCCAGCTTTCCGCCTGTCTTGGCTTTCGACATGCCTTCCTCACTAAGCTTAATCATTTTTAGTTTTTGACTTAAAGTGAGAGAGATGTGACTCTTCGTTCACTTGAACGCTTTGAGGCAATTGTAGGGCTATTAATGCGCCGGATTTCATTATTGTTGTGTCTCAAGGAGGCTCGAGCAGAGGGAGATAGATGGGAGAATGAGCAGTTGGTGGGGCAGTCAGAACACACACAACATTTATTGATTAAGTTCACTATCTTACATAGGTGTGGTTTGTGGTACCCCAAAATAATTAGTAACAGCAAAGATCACTGATCACAGATCACCATAACTCAATAACAATAATGGAAAAGTCTGAAATATTGTGATACTTAACAAAATGTTATCCAGAGACATGAACTGGGCATACGCTGTCAGAAAAAGGGCAGTAGACTTGCTTGACTCAGGGTTGCCACATCAGATTTTTTTTTTTTTTAAAGAAGCAATACTTGCGGAGCACAATAAAGCAACTTGTAAAACAATGAGTTATGCCTGTATATTAAAGCAGTATCCCTCAATTCTTAGTTATTGAGGGTTTTTTATATGAATGAATGTTGAATTTTGTCAAGTGCTTTTTCAGTATCTCTAGAGGTGATGATATTCTTCTTAGTTCTTCTGATATCATTTATTATATTAATGTATTTCCTAGTATTGAACCATCATTGCCTTTCTGTAATGATACATTAAAAAATATGCTATTTTTATTCTGTTTGCCAAAGTTTATTTAAGATTTTGGCATGGATGTTAATAAACTTGTTTGTAGCATAAATTTACATGTTTATTGGTATATGTATGTGTTGAGTCCAAGGCAGTTGCTCAGTTTCATGTTTATTCCCTGGAGCCCCTTTCCTAAGCCTGGTCTGCTCTTGCTGTAATGGTGACTGGACTTTTTTACAGGTCTGCTATAAAGCTCTTGGTTTGGGAATTCCCGTTCCCTGCCTTCTTCTGTGTTGAGTCCTGTTTCCTGGACAAGGCAAGATTGCAGGTTTTTCTTTCTCCTGATTTATTTATTCATATTAGTAGCTTCCTGAGAAAAGGTGCATAAATTTTTTTAATATCTACATGACTGAAATGTCTTTAGTCGGCCTTCACTAGTTGATCATTTAGAGGGATTAGACATTTAGGTTGAAAATACTTTTTCTAAAGAATTTAGAAGGCTTTCATCTATCATTTTCTAGCTTCCATTTTGTTTTATGACCGCTCCCCATCACCCCCCCACTACCTGGGAAGCAACTCTCAGTGTTTTGATAGTCTAAGCTGTTGTGCTTTGGCCTTCTTTCTATTCATATGTTGGACAGTTAGTTGATGGGCCCTTTCTATTTGCAAATGGCTATTTTTCAGGGCTAGGAACTCTTCTTGAATAATTTTTTCCTTCCATTTTATTATTCAGATATTATATCATGTATTTTTCTTGTCTCCTATTGTGCATTCCTTATTTTTTTGTTCTACTTTTTGGGAGATTGCCTCAAATTTATTTTCTAACCCTTTAACGGAATTTGTTACTCCTCATATTTTAAATGTTCCTGAATATTCCTACTTATAATATCCTATTTATGGTTTATAGATAAAATTCTATTTCTAACTCTTTCATATTAATTACATATATTTTAAAAATGTTTACTGTTTCTGCATTTTCTGTTTTTAATTCCTCCTTCTCCCCCAACCTTTACCCTCTTCTGTTTGCCTGATGTGTCCTCTTTCTTTATTGAGAAGCTAGTCTCAAATACCTGGTTATCTGTGGCTGTCTGTTCACATTTAAGGGTGAGACACTAGAAAGCTAGTGTGAACAGTTGTCTTGGACTCAACACATACCTATACCTATTCTGCGTGAGTTGGATTTACTGTTGGGATGTCAGGTGGCCAGATGGCTTTTTCTTTAGATACCTTCACATGTCAGTGTCTAAAGAGTCTTTCTCTGGGAACATTTAATTTCTCCAGAAAGGTATTGTTTGGTTTCTTGCCTGAGCCTGAGATCTGGAATTTGGCTGTGGAAAGGGAATGCCAACTATTTTTGATTGATTATGTAGCATTTTGCTTAACACTGTGTTCCCCTCACACCCTACTCCAGCTTAAAATCCCTTCAGTTGCTGTGTATTGCTGTCATATTGCAATCCAAGCTACTTATTGTAGCTTTAGATTCTGTATGATTTAATCTCAGTATAGCTCTCATCTGCTTTTCATAGTTCTGTTTACCTCATTCCACTGTCCTTTCTGCTTCAAACATACCGAGTTCTTTCTCAATTAACGGCTTTTGCATGTGCTTCCCCTTTGCATGGCTAGCTCTCTTTCACTATTTAAGTCTTTCCTCATGTGTAATCTCCTTGACTTTCTAGGATAGGCAGGGTTGGTTAGGTGATGCTGTGATATCAAGCAACCTCAAAATCTCAGTGGTTTAAAACAGTGATTGTTGCTCATAATACATGTCCGTCACAGATGAGCTGGGAGCTCTGCTGTCATTTGTCCTCATTCTAGTATGTAGGCTGACCAGAGCAGCCACCAATTGGGGATTGCCATTACCCATAGTATAAAGAAAAAGAAAGCATAGCAAATCATAGTGAACTTTCTTAAATCATCCATTGTGCAAGTGGTATAAATCCCGTTTACTCAGATTCCATTTGTCAAATCCACACGTGGCCTCACCTAATTTCAGTGTGGTGGGGAAGTGCATTGTCCTAATTAACAGTGCATTTTGATTGAACTAGAAATTGGAGAATGACTTTCTTGAGAAGAAAAAAGGTAGGACAGTGTATGTGTGTTGGAGAGGTATATGTGAAAGAGATTAATTGACTTAAGTAGGAAGATAATTACATAAGGGTAGGGTTTGTAAATACAGAGGTAAGACCCAAAAAAGAAAACTAAAATAGTTGACAGTGATTGGCTTAGGGTGGCAGGAAGAGGGGGTAGGGGGCTTGGGACTATCTGATTTTTGAAAAATCATGTGTATGTAGCATTTTAATTAAAATGACAATAAAATTTAAATAATCCTAGACCTTCATGTGACCTCTCTTCTGTCTCTTTCCGGCTACTTTTCCATCTACCTCCTTTACTTTTGTCAGTCAGTCTTCTGGAAAGAGTTCTCTATTTCAGTTTCTCCACCTGCCACTTACTCCTTAACCCACTCCAGTCCAGTTGGGGTGCTATTATTTCACTAAGACAGCTCTTGCCAAAGTCACCAGTGACCAACATATTGCTAAATCTAGTGGATATTTTCAGTTCTTTCTGCTTTTTGACATCCTAGCAATATTCTGTACTTTCTGAAATCTTGCCTTCACTGGACTTCTGTAAGACAGCTCTCCTAGATTTGCTCCTAGTTCTTAGGGGCCTAGGTCACTTTCTACCATATTCTCTCCTGGGGCAGTCTAATCTACATTTATGGTTTCAGTTACCATGCTTAGGTGCCTCACAAATCTTCAGCATATATCCCCAGCTCACTAGCTCTATCTCCACATACCTACTTAACATCTCCCTTAGATGTCTAAAAGACACCTGAACTTAGTCTGTCTGAAACCAAACTCAGCACACAGATACATATACCACTACCTTCTGCAAACTTAGTCTCCATCCCAGATTTCTTATCTCAGTTGAAAACACCCCAGTGTAACACCCTGGGAAAACCGGAAATCTAAGCATTATCCTTGACACTCACCTCTCCCTTCTTCCTAGTCCAAAATTAAGTTGTGATATTTTTTCCTCATTCTACACCCTGTAGCCAGAGTTAACTTAAAAAACCCATTATTTTCCAAAGCTCCCATTGGTCTTGCATTCTTTTTGTTGCTTTTCCTTAATTACCACTCTCCTCTTCCTCATTTTAAAACTTACTCCAAAGCTACAGTAATCAAAACAATGTGGTATTGGAATAATATAGATATGTAGTCTAGTAATAATATAGATTTATAGTCTAGTGGAATAGAATTTAGAGTTCAGAAATAAACCCATACATCTATGGCTGTTGATTTTTGACAAGGATGCTAAGTCCACTCAATTGGGAAAGAATAATCTCATCAACAGTTGGTGCCAAGATAACTTGATTTCCACATGTACAAAATGAAATTGGACCACCTACCTCACATCACATATAAAAATTAACTCCACATGTGTCAGTAACCTAAATATAAAAGCCAGAACCCTAAAACTTGTAAAACAGTTTAATCTTCCTGACCTTTGGTTTTGCAATGGATTCTTAGGTATGATACCAAAAGCATGAGCAACAAAAGAAAAAATAGTTAAGTTATATTTTATCAAAATTTGAAAGTTTTATGCATTAAAGGACCTTATTAAGAAAGCGTAAAGACGGTCTACAGAATGGGAGAATGTTTGCAAAGCTTATATCTGATACTGGATTGGTATCTAGAATATATAAAGAACACCTACAACTCAACAGCAACAAAAAGACAACCCAATTAAAAATGGGCAAAGGACTTGAATAGACATTTCTCCAGACATATATACATATCCAATAAATACATGAAAAGGTGTTCAACATCATTAGTCATTAGAAAAATTCAGGTCAAAACCCCAATGAGGTAATTACTTAGATGGCTATGATTTTTTTTAAAGTAAAAAATTAGGAATAATACGTGTTGGTAAAAATGTGGAGAAATTGGAACACTTGTACATTGCTGTTGGGATTGTAAAATGGTGCAGCTGCTTATGAAAAAGAGTTTACTAATTCTTCAAAAGGTTAAATGTAGAATTTATTACATGATCTGGCAATTCCACTTCTGGGTATATGCCCCAAGGAATTGAAGGCAGACCCAAGCAGATACTTGTATGCCAGTGTTCACTGCAGTCTCATTCACAGCATCTTTCAAAAGATGGAAACTACCCAAGTGTCCATCAACAGTTGAGTGGATAAACAAATTGTGATTTATCCATACGGTGGAATATTCTTCAGCCATAAGAAGAAATAAAGTACTGGCACGTGCAACAAAATGGATGAACCTAGAAAACACACTAATTGAAATAAGACAGACACAAAAGGACAAATACTGTATGATTCCACTCATGAAATATCTAGGCATATTAATAGATACAGAAAGTGGATTTGAGGATGCTAGGGGCTTGGAAGAGCAGAGAATGGGGAAGTATTATTTAATGGTCTGTAGTTTGGGGTGATAAAAATGTTTTAGAAATAGGAAATGGTGATGGTTGCAAAACACTGGGAATGTAAAGTAGTTAGTGCTGCCAGATTGTGTACTCAAAAATGGGTAAGATGGCAAATTCTATATTAATATATATTTCGCTACAGTTTTAAAAATAAATAATATTATGTTCCAAAAACCACTGAATTGTACACTTCAAATGGGTGAATTGTATGTGAATTATACCTCAATAAAGCTTTTCAAAAAATAAACAGGGTAACAATTTTCTCACCCACCATTTTGTTTTATAAACTGTTTTGTCAAATTGAAAAGTCCTGAAATATCCTTTTGCTTTACTAGTATAACTAAAAAAGTAATTAAAAAATTTTTTAAAAGGTGAATAGAGAGTTCATAATGACCTGTTTTGCTATCAGGAACCTTGATCAATGTGTTACATAGCAGTATTTCCCATTCTTAATCTAATGTACTTTGATCCAAACAAACAAAAAGCTACCAGGAGATCCATTCTAAGGGCTCTGTATTGCCAGTTATCCATGTTCTATGCCTGCCACATATGGAAAGCATACAGCAGATTGATTATCTTGGGGGCTCTTGGGGCAGTATTATTGATCTTTACTTTTCTTAATACCTGGTAGTTAACCATTTATTATTATAGACTAGATTAATTTCTCCTCCTATTTTTAAAGTTTTTTTTAATGTGGCAAATACACATAACATATAATTTATTATCTTTATCATTTTTAGGAGTACAGTTTAGTGTATTTAAATGCATTTATAATGTGCAATTCTCACCATCATCCATCTCTGTGATTCTTTTTATTTTGTAAAACTTAAACTCTATACCCATTAAACAGTAACTCTTGATACCCCCTGGCAACCAACAACTAATTTTTTAACATCTCAGGTTTGGCTGGGGAGAGTGTTGAATCAGTAAGTATTTATTTAGCATCTACTTTATGGTAAAAGTTATTAGGGGCATGAAGAAGGTTTAAAATATGGGATGCTTTAAAAAACTGACAATACTGCTGGGCAGACAATACTACATATGCAATAATTGTATAGGAATCAATGATAACATGGAATTTATTATAATTATACCTTGTATATATGTAGCTTATACATGCAAGTTATAATGAAAATTGTGGGGCACCAATAAAAGACCAAACACATTAAAAAAAACTAATGCTAGTATTGATAAGAATTTAATATATAATGCCAGGCATGGTGGTATGTGTACCTGTGGTCCCTCGGGAGGCTGAGGTAGGAGGATTACCTGAGCCCAGGAGAATGGAGTCCAGCCTGGGCAACATAGTAAGACTCTGTCTCTTAAAAGAAAATTTAACATATGATTAGGAATGTATCACATTTTGTTGGAGAAGAGAAAAATCCTTCAGTGAATCATACTAGTTCAGTGGTTGCTTCTTCAGGGAAACATTCTGTATTTTCATTTAATGCCACATTCAAAAAGTGATTCCATGGTTTACAGCCTGGCATGTAAGGAGCTCATAAGTAACCATGCTGTCCTAACAACAAGTAAAAAGCTGAACAAGCAAAAATAATAATAATAAACAAAACTCTTTTAGATCCATCAGGGAAGTGAAACCATGGGGTGTACTGCTGCACCAAAAATTGGAGAGACAGATAGGTAGATATAAAGAATCACAACTTACCGGAACACAAACCCACAAGGAAAAACCTCTGTGGGGATCAGTGCTGGAGTAGGAAAGGCTGAACTGTAATTGATGAATCGCTAGATGCCCAGTATGGACAACTCTGAGAGTTAGAAACTTCAGAGGGACCCAGTCACGGGGGAGGGCTGCCACAGTTTTGAGTTTTTACCTCTAGGAGCTTGACCTCACAGTGAATATTGAAGAAAAATCTCCTTGTGCTTCTTGGAGCGGGAGGGGGAAAGGGATCATTTTGAAATATGCAAGAGCTTTCTGTTCTTAACAAAGCCTACCCTCAGGAGACATGGTATTACCAAAGCCTAACCTACCTGGGGGAAGGGAAATACCTAACTCCAGCCTACTGTAGCTTTCTACATGGGGAAAGGGAAATATACAGCTTCAACCCCCTCCAGTCATCCTGTCCCACATAAGGGGGGAAACTGTACAGCCCTGGTGAAGTTCACAGTCCAGTGGCACAGGCTGTCTAAAGATTGAATCTAATCATAGGACTAAGACGGCCTCCCTTCCCCACACCTTACACTATGTTATTAAAGTCCTATTTAGCAAGATTCCTTTTACCCAGTACATAACGTTGACCTTTCAGCAAAAAATCACAAGGCCTACTAAAAAGCAAAAAACAACAGTGTGAAGAAACTGAACAAGCATCAGAACTAGAGTCAGATATGGCAGGAATGTTGGAATAATCAGACCAGGGGTTATTAAAAACTATGATTAAAATGCTAAGAGTTTTAATGCCAAAACATGGGCAACAAGAATAAATGGACGATATAAGCATAGAGATGGAAATTCTAAGAAGGAATCAAGAAGTGCGAGAGATCAAAAACACTAACAGACCGTAAAAAGCCTTTGGTGGGCTTATCAGTAGACTGGACGTGACTAAGGAGAGAATCTCTGAATGTGAGCATATGACAACTAGAAATCTTCAGAACTGAAAAGCAGAGAGAGACAAGTCTGGGGAAAAAACCAATCGACAACAGAATATTCAAGAACTACAGGAAAGCTATGAAAGATGTAATATATGTATAATGGGAATACCAGAAGGGAAGAAGGAGCGAAAGGGACAGAAGCAATATTTGAGTCAAAAATGCTTGACAATTTCACCAGTATCAGACACCAACCAAAGATCAAGGAAGTTCAGAAAACACCAAGCAGGCTAAATGGCAAAAATATTATACCTAAGCATACCATATTCAAATGTCAGAAAAGTAAACTTGAAAGAATCCAGAGGAATAAACACTTTACCTATAGAGGAGCACAGTTAAGAATTACATCTGACTTTTCTTCAGAAACCATGCAAGCAGGACGAGTTGGAATGAAATGAAATGTTGAAAGAAAAAACCCCACCAACCTAGGATTCTGTGTCCAGCAAAACTATATCTTTCATAAAAAGTAAAGATACAGACTTTCTCAGACAAAATTAAGGGAATTTTTTGCCTTGTAATAAATGTTAAAAAAAGTTCTTCAGAAAGAAGGCAAATTATTTCAGTTAGAAACCTGGATGTAGATGAAGAAAGGAAGGCCATTCAAGAAGGAATAAGGAAATGTAAAATAAAAATTTTTTCTTCCTACTAACAGATAATTTTTTCGAAACAATAATAGTAACTGTGTATTTGATTATGTGTGCGTGTGTGTGTGTGTGTGTGTGTGTGCGTGCTTATGGGTAAGTAAAATGAATGACAGTTTATGTGTAAGTAAAATGAATGACAGTTTGTAAGTGAAATGGCACAAGGGACTAGAGGGAAGAATTCAGAATATTGTGTTACTATAAGGTACTTTCACTGCCCATGAAGCAGTATAATGTTATTCGAAAGTGGACTTGGGTTAATTGTAATGTATGTTGCAAACTCTAGGGAAACCACTACAAATAGTAAAGCAAGAAGTATAATTGATGTGATAAGAAAGGAGAGAAAATTGAATTGCATAGAATGCTCAACTAAAACCACAAAAGGTAGAAAAAGTGTGGAAGACAGAAATAAGAATAACAAAGTCAACCAATGGAACATAGTGACAAACATGGTAGATATTAATCTAACTGTATTAATAATCACTTGAAATATGGCCTAAACACAGCCATTAAAAGACAGAGATTGTGAGAGTGGGTCAAAAAAGTCAACCCAACAATATCTTGACTGCCAGAAACCCACTTTAAATATACAGATTGAAGAGATAAAGAATATAGCATGGTAACACTAATGAAAAGAAAATCAGAATAGCTATATCAGTTTCAGACAAAGGACTTCAGAGGTAGGGAAGTTATAAGGGATAAAGGTGGGCAGTACATAATGATAAAGGAGTCAATATTCTAAGAAGGCATAACAGTGCTTAATGTGTACGCACCTAACAACCAAGCATCAGAATATATGACACAAAAACTGATAGAACTGCAAGGAGAAATAAATGAATCCACTACTATAGTTGGAGATATCAATATGCCTCTAGCAAAAATAGATTGATCTAGCAGGCAGAAAGTTGGTAAGGACGTAGTTGAACTCAAAAACATCAATCAACTGGATATAATTGACATCTATAGATTACATTATTCAATAATAGCAGATCACACGTTCTTCTGAAGGTCACACAGAACATTCACCAACATAGACCACATTCGATGCCATAAAACAGACCTTAATAAACTTAATAGAAATAATATATCTGCTGTCAGACCACAGTGGAATGAAGTTTGAAATTAATAACAGAAAGCTGGGAAATCCCCAAATATATTGAGATTAAACACACACTTCTGAATAACAGGGCTCAAAGAATAAATCTTGAGGAACTTTTAAATATTTGCAACTAAATGAGAATAAAAATAGTTTATCAAAATCACATGATCTTACCAACAGATACAGAAGGAGAATTTGACAAAACCCAACATTCTTTCATAAAAACTCCCAAGAAACTAGGAATAAAAGGGAGCTTCCTTGACTTGTTAAAGAATATCTTTACAAACCCTACAGCTAACATCATACTTAATGGTAAGGAACTTGAAGCTTTTCCATTAAGATCAGGAACAAGGCAAGAATGTCCCCTCACCACACTGCCTTTCAATGTCATATAGGAAGTCCTAGCTGTCTTACTCTATTCCTGCTGCTGTAACAAAATACCACAGACTGGGTAATTTATAAATAACAGAAGTTTATTTCTCACAGTTCTGCATGCTGGGAAGTCCAAGATCAAAACCATCAGCAGATTCAGTGTCTGGTAAGGGTTACTCTGCTTCCAAGATGATACTTTATTGCTGTGTCCTCACATGGCAGAAGAGATGGAATGGCCAGGCACGTCTCTGAAGCCTCTTTTATAAGGGCATTAATCCCATTCATGAGGGCAGAGCCCCCATGGCCCAATCACCTCCCAAAGTCTTCACCTCGTAATGCCGTCACCTTGGGGTTTAATTTCCCACGTGAATTTTGGAGAAACGAAAACATTCAAACTGCAGTACTAGCTAATGCAATAAGATAATAAACAGAAATAAGAAGCAAATAGATTGGGAAAAAAGAAATAAAACTGTCTTTGTTGACAGATGACATGATCATTTATATAGCAAATCCAAAAGAATTAACAAAAACACCCTGGAACTACTAAGTGGTTGTAGCCAAGTTGCAGGATATGAGGGTAATATACAAAAATCTATCACTTTCCTATTTATCAGCAATGAACAAGTGTAATGTGAAATTGAAAGCATATTATCATTTACATTAGTACCCCCGAAATGAAATGCTTAGGTAGAAATCTAATAAATTGTGGACAAGATGTATATCAGGAAGACTGCAGAGCTCTGATGATAGAGATAAAAGATTAAATAAATGATGAGATATTCCATGTTCATGGATAGGAAAACAATATTGTCAAGATGTCCATTCTTCCCACTTTTATGTATGGATTCATGTAGTCTCAATCAGAATCCCAGCAAGTTATTTCATGGATATCAACAAACTGATTCTAAAGTTTATATGCAGAGACAAAATACCCAAAATAGTCATCATACTATTGAAGGACAAAGTCTGAGGACTGATACTACCTGACTTAAAGACTTACTGTAAACTTTAGTGACCAAGACAATGTGGCATTGGTGACAGGACAAATAGATGGATGGAACAGAATAGAGAACCCAGAAATACTCACATAAATACAGTCAGTTCAACTTTTACCAAGGAGCAGAGGCAATACATTGGAGCAAAAAATAGCCCTTGAGGAAATGGTGCTGGAACAAATGGACATCCACTTTCAGAAAAAAAAAAAAAGAAGAATCATCTAGGCAAAGACCTTACATCCCTCACAAAAATTAACTGAAAATGGATCAGAGACCTAAATGTAAAATACAAAACTGTAAAACTCTTAGGCAATAGCATAGGAGGAAACCTAGATTACCTTTTGTGTGGTGATAATATTTTAGGTACAACAGCAAAGGCATGATCCATGAAGGAGAGAATTGATAAGCTGGACTTCGTTAAAATTTAATACTTTTGTTCTGTCAAAGATAATGTCAAGAAAAATTTAATACTTTTGTTCTGTCAAAGATAATGTCAAGAAATTGTGATGACAGGCTACAGACTGGGAGAAAATATTTGCAAAAGACACATCTGATAAAGGACCATCAAGCAAAACATACAAAGAACGTCTAACATTAAATAATAAGAAAATGAAGAACATGTTCTAGAAATGGACAGAAGGGCAAAGGTGGGAGGATCACTTGAGGCCCAGAATTGGAGACCAACCTGGGTAACATAGCATAATCCTGCCTCTCCAAAACATTAACAAATAAAACATGAGCAGGGCATGGTGGTGCATGCCTGTAGTCCTAGCTACTCTAGAGTCTAAGGAGGATCGCTTGAGCCCAGGAATTTGAGGTTATAGTTAGCTTTGACTGCACTTCAGACTGGGTGACAGAGTGAGACCCTGTTTCAAAAATACTAAAAAAAAAATTTTTTTAAGGGCAAAAGACCTGGCTGGACACCTCACCAAAGAAATACAGATGACACATAAACATATGAAAATACATTCAATATCATATATCATTAGGGAATTAAAAATTAAAACATCAATGAGGTATTACCACATACTTATAAGAATGGCTCAGATCCAAAACACTGACAATACCAAATGTTGATGAGGATGTGGAACAATAGAAGCGCTCAGTCATTGCTGGTGGAAGTGCAAAATGGTCCGGTCACTTGGGAAGACAGTTTGGCAGGTTGTTATACAACTGAACATTTTCTAACCGTACGAACCAGCAGCTACACTCCTTGGTATTTACCCTTATGAATTGAAAACTTATGTGCACATAAAAACATGCACATGGATGTTTATAGCAGCTTTGTTTTGATTGCCAAAACTTAGAAGCAACCTTTCCTCGAGTAGGTGAATGGATGAACTGTGTTATATGCAGCCAGTGGAATGTTATTCAGTACTAAAAAGTAACAGTCTATCATGCCATAAAAAGCTATGGAGGAAACTTAATGCATATTACTAAGTGAAGGAGGCCAACCTGAAAAGGCCACATACTGTATGATTCCAACTGTGTGACATCTTGGAAAAGGCAAAACTGTGGAGACAGTAGTAAAAAGACCAGTGGTTGCCAAGGGTTAGGGAAGGAAGGGATGAATAGGTGGAGCACAGACAATTTTTAATTCAGTGGAACTATTCTGTATGGGCACTACCGTGGCACATGCTTGTCATTCATACATTGGTCAAAACCCATGTGCACTACAGTGGCACGTGCTTGTCATTCATACATTAGTCAAAACCCATGGGCATTACAGTGGCACATGCTTGTCATTCATACATTGGTCAAAACCCATGAGTACTACAGTGGCACGTGCTTGTCATTCATACATTAGTCAAAACCCATGGGCATTACAGTGGCACGTGCTTGTCATTCATACATTGGTCAAAACCCATGAGTACTACAGTGGCACATGCTTGTCATTCATACATTGGTCAAAACCCAAGGGCACTACAGTGGCACATGCTTGTCATTCATACATTGGTCAAAACTCACGGGCACTACAGTGGCACATGCTTGTCATTCATACATTGGTCAGAACCCATGGGCACTACAGTGGCACATGCTTGTCATTCATACATTGGTCAGAACCCATGGGCACTACAGTGGCACATGCTTGTCATTCATACATTGGTCAGAACCCATGGGCACTACAGTGGCACATGCTTGTCATTCATACGTTGGTCAGAACCCATGGGCACTACAGTGGCACATGCTTGTCATTCATACGTTGGTCAGAACCCATGGAATGTACAACACCAAGAGTGAACCCTAATGTATACTGTGGACCTTGGGTCATAATGATATGTCAGTGTAGGTTTGTTGATTTTTAACAAATGTATTGCTCTGGTGTGGGATGTTGATAATAGGGGAGGCTGTGCATGTGCATTTGTGGGGCCAGGGAGTATGTGGGAGCTCTGTATTTTCCACTCAATTTTGCTGTGAACTTAAAATTGCTCTAAAAAATAAAGTTTACTAATCATAATTTTAAAAAAGTAATTCTCCCCAGCACTTTGCGAGGCCTAGGTGGGCGGATCACCTGAGGTCAGGAGTTCAAGACCAGCCTGGCCAACATGGCGAAACCCCATCTCTACTAAAAATACAAAAATTACCCAGCTGTGGTGGCGCACGCCTGTAATCCTAGCTACAACGGGAGGCTGATGCAGGAGAATCACTTGAACCTGGGAGGTGGAGGTTGCAGTGAGCCGAAATCACACCATTGCACTCCAGCCTGGGTGACAAGAGCGAAACTCCGCCTCAAAAAATAAAAAACAAAAATAAAAAACTACAAAATATAATTGCGTATTTTTCTGATTTGAGTGTAGAAGGACTTCTGATCACAAAAGCAATGATAAAGGAATACATAGCTAGATTTCAGTAAAATTGTATTTAGTGTTTATTAAGAGGCAAAGAGAAAAGCATTGTATGGATAAACCTAATATAAAAATTAATATATAAATGGGAAAATGGTATGAATAGACAATGAAAAATAATTTAAAAGTGCTAATACACTTTGGGGAAAAGTAATAATATTTGATGCAAATATTTGAAAACATTTTATGCAGTATACTGATAAAAAACCTGAACCTACCACCAGAAGTAAAAATCGAACCTATTTGGTGTTTTGAATTTTCACACTGTGCTCCTCCATCTCTCTTCCCTGCACCCTCAACTGTTCTTGTTAACTATTGTGTTTATCGTTTCCTTAAAGCAGTTTTCACAAATATGTATATATCACCAAGCAACTTCTTGTTTAATTTTGCTTATTCTTAAGTTTTTTTCTGACGTGTTTTCTCCTTTATTCTCCCTTTTGCCCTCACCCCAGTTTGTGTAGAAGTAGTGTGGATATAAAGTGACACTTCTGTAGACTGAGGAGATTGCAGTACATCTGGATTTGTTGGGATAGAGAATATCAGTATCACCTAGGGGCTTATTAAAGTTACTCAGAAGTTTTTGCTACTTTTTATTTTTTTTTTTAACTACAGGCTTCTTGAGAATCATGGTCTACTTTTACCAAAAGGAGCCTGTAATATTCCTCAAATGTGTTGGAGCAGAACAAAGATTGAAGACTGTATTAATGATCTCTACAAAGAGTCTTCTGTTCTTTCTTTTTGATGTCTCAATCTTTGATAAAACATAAATGAAGGTTCACTCTGGGCTCTTGTTATTTACATAACAGCTGAAAAAAAGTGAATTTAATAATTTTATATTGAAGGTTTAGTATGTTCAAAATTGCTAGGCACCTTGAAAAACATGAGTTATAAAAATGAATAAGACGTATCTTAGTTGAATTAAAACAATTCTTTTGAGGAATTTTGTACAAAATACTTTTGTACAAAAGCAATACATTTGTAAGAGATGTATAAACAAATTGATATTAGAATACAGAGGACAATTGAGTTTTATTTGGTTTGATTCCAGGAGAAAAGCCTGGTCAGGGAAAATTGCATTAAAGTAGATCCTAGAAAGGATAGGGAAATTTTTAATAATTGGTAAGGGGCAGGGGAGAACATTCCAGGGAGAGAGAACTGCATAAACAAAGAGATGGAGGTGTGAAGTTTGGGAGCATAATTGGGAACTGTGAGCAGTAATGCAATGTGCACTCAGATAAGGATGGACTGTAAGATTTGGTTTGGCCATATCAACAAGGACCTTAAGTAATCAGCTCTCTGTACCCAGGATTCTAAGACTTTCTTTTTATTGATGAACACTCAAATTGCTGTTCTTTTCTTATATCTAGTCACATCACTAGTCATGTACTGGATGAGAGAAGGATTTTTGTCCGTTTTGCTTATTGCTATATCCCTAGAGCATAGAAGAGCACCTGGTGTGTAACACGCATATATGAATTATATGTTAAATGAGTGAATGAATTTAGATTTCATAAGAAAGGATAATTTATGGTTGCACTTTAAAGAGATCTTGCCTCCATGGGTCAAGTTGTTTTTGGTACCTTTGTAATATGCCTCAAACTTCATTGTATTTCTCTCACTTGGATTTGTCTTTCCCTGGCATTTTTTGCAATGTTCTACGTGGGCTCTTATAACTAATGATCATCCTCCTTATAGTGTACCTGTATTACAAGGTATGTTTATTTTCTGTGACTTGATTCAGGTAGTTCTCAAAATCTTTGATTTTTAACTTCACACCTGTTTTTCTGAGATGTAGCATTGCTTCATTCTTTAATCTTGATTTTAATCATTTCTGGGAATCTGTGACATCACTTTTAGAGTTTCTGCTACTTAGTCCCCACTACATTCTTCTGGTTATGTTATATAAATAGTTACATTTACTATTTATTATGGTATTATTTTAAAATGTTAGCTTTGCTGTTAAATTTAACATTTTACATTTTACAGCTTTGCTGTATTTTTTATAGTTCTGAGCAAATTATTCATATTCTTACATATCATGAATTGTGAAAAAAAATTTACAAGTTGACTTGTTACCTATACCTATATGTATTATTCTTCAGTGTTTGCTCTAGAAATTATAATATGCATCCTTAATTTACAATAGCCTCCCTTGAATTAATATACTACTACTTGCGTAAAATATAGGAAATTTATAATAATATATTTCTGCTTACTCCCACTTCCCTTCCTTTGTGCTTTGGTTGTTATATATTTTATTTCTACGTGTGTTATAAGCCTAATGACATCTATCAATTATTTTTATCTTTGCTTTAAACTGCCAATTATCTTTTAAAGAAATTAAGAAAGGGAAAAATTGGCTTTTACATTTTCCTACATATTTACCATTTTGCAGAGTTCCTCATCTCTTTCTGCTGAAATTTTACCTCAGCGAGAAGTAGTGTCTCCCTTGTCTGAATTTTTATAGCACATATTGTGGACCATTTATATGTCATATATGACCTTACAGTTAGTTCCATGTATATGTCAAATTTCCTCTGCCAGTTTTAGATTATTTTCTTGGCAAGGGTCGCCGTTTATACAGTTTTAACTACTTCATTGTGTCTAGCACAGTGCCTTAGATAAAGTGGACACCTGTATATATTTTTAACTATGTAAGAATGAGTGAAACTTTGTTCATTTATCTGAGTATTTATATAATCTCACAGGATTGAGTTGTATTATTACAGTTCACCATTAGATGTCACTTTCTGACATATGTTAAATCCTTACCAATGAATTCCTTCCATTAAGGCATATTGGATTCTGAAAGTTGGTGCTCCAACACAAGTGCACTTAAACAGATAAATTTTTGTACATTTAAAAGTGATTACTGTCTAAAATGGAAGTGTTCCTAAGTTATAATTTTTATATTTTCATTATGTATAAATTTATACAGAACTAACTGATTTTCCTAAAGTTTTCTTTAGAACTTGAATACTGGTATTGTTTTTGAATTATTTGCTCTGTGGAGCAGCTTGGAACTATTAGAAGTAATAGTGTGAGAATATTCAGGAATACCTTTAAACATGTTCAAAATGTATTCTGATGGTGGTGTAATTCTGAAAGACATCTTATTTTAGGAGCCTGACTGACCCAGTTTTCTCAGGTTTTGATAGCAACTATATAGTTTATTTGTGTTTGCCTGAGAAAGGAGGGGAACTGAGTAGGCTGTGAAGAAACACAGAGGTAGAGAAAAAGGAGATTCCTGTGGCTGTCTTGGCCAGTCATGGAACACAGCAAAGTGCTTCCCTCCCTCATTCTCTAAACTTAAAAGATAGGAAAGGGCAGGTCAAGGAGATTTCAGCAATCTCAGAAGGCTTAATGTTCACTGTATATTTAAGAACCTAGATTTTAAACTCAGCATGATAACATGTATGATCTAGAGAGATGTTTCAGTGCGTCCCCAATGCTAGGATTCATGACAAACGCTTACCAGATTCCTACAAGCACGTCTCTCCATGCTGAGTTAAGAGAATCCTCTCTGTGATACCACTGCTCTCCGGACATCCAGGGTTTAACCTCTTTTCTTTCCCCATCTTGCCAGGAGACAGCAGGAAAATTATTGGGAGGTGGGAGGTGTGGTGGCAGTTTTCTTCAATTCATCTGGAATACTAAAATTTGAGTAAAATAACAATGCTGTTTCCTAATAGTGTAATAAATACCCCCAAAACTTACACCTAATCCAAGAATGTTACCATTCTTCATAATTTGTGACCTTCTAGTGTTCTGTCCCTCAACCTTTCACATCTCATTCCAGGAGTAACTTTCTTATATTTAATGTTCATGGTTTGATTTAAAATAATATTGTTTTCATATATCTATGTATGTATATAAAATTTGATTTTTAAGCCATGATTATAATAAACTAAAGTGCCAATTAGAATATTTAAATTCCATTTTGTATTGATCAAATTACAAACAACGCGATGTCAACAAATGAAGTTTTATCTTGGAGTATTTCTGTGTTTTAGAATAAACTTAAATGCATTTTCTGAAAGTATATTGGTATGAAGTGACCACTTATCCTTCCTGGGATAACCTTTTTAACTTTTTGGCTTTTAGAATGTCATTCTTCATGATGTAATGAAATGAATGATACTTTATATGAAGTAACTGGTGATGTGGATGGTAGAAAAAAATAGAAAGTGGGCAATACTACATACTAAGTATAATCAATAGTTGAGAGGTCCTGATAATGTTACTCACTTATACTGATAATTCATTTTGTAATCTGTTTTTTTCCCTTATGTTTTTGTTTATTACTGCAGCTAAAGAAGTAAACAGGTCATGGCACGTTTAACAAAAAGACGACAGGCGGATACAAAAGCTATCCAGCATCTTTGGGCAGCCATTGAGATTATACGGAACCAGAAGCAGATTGCCAACATTGACCGTATTACAAAGTAAGTAAATTTAAACACAAATATCTCTGTAAAATGTCGTAGAAGACTTTGGGGGAAAGGCCAAAAAAAATTTTATCTGTTATGCTAATCAACATATATTACAAAGAACTGAAGACACTTTTTGCTTTGCAGGAGTATTATTAGAAAAACAAACACAGAAACATACACAAACAACTTGTGTTTAGAAGTTTCATAGAAAAATTAGATAAGGAAAATATCACTATATACTATTTATAATAGTTTTTTAGTTAACCAAATTTTTAACTCTATTTATTGATTTATTTATTTTGAGACGGAGTCTCATTCTGTTGCCCAGGCTGGAGTGTGGTGACCCGATCTCAGCTCATGGCAACCTCCGCTTCCCGGGTTCAAGTGATTCTCCAGCCTCAGCCTCCCAAGTAGCTGGGATTACAGGCACCCGCCACCACGCCCAGCTAATTTTTTGTATTTTTAGTAGAGAGAGGGTTTCACCATGTTGGCCAGGCTGATCTCAAACTCCTGACCTCGTGATTCGCCCGCCTTGGCGTCCCAAAGTGCTGGGATTTACAGGCGTGAGCCACTGCACCTGGCCAGAGATTCTTTTATTAAAAACACCTTTAGTGAATCACTTTTATGTAGCGAAGCTATCTAAAAACAGTCTACTGTTTATTACTAATTTTAACATAGGATAGGCATGGTATGTGTAGTAAGAAACATCTTACTACTTTATAGCCCACTAACAGAATTTTTAACAATTTCCTTCTGTATTTTAGAAATCATGTTAAATAAACATTCAGTTTTAAAGAAGAAAATTGTCCACCCCCATCCCCTAGTTTCTCATGCTATTTATATGGGTAGACAGATTCAGGATACCAAAAAAAAAAATCAAAGTACCTTATGAAGCTTCTATTTACATGTTGTATGCTAATTATAAGGGAGTCTTCAATTAGGAACTTGGTTTTGTTTTGTTTCTCTGGGTATTCTTAAAGATATAAAGCTAAATTTATCTTTTTTAAGTGTTTGGAATTTTAAAAATAATTTAGAGAAAATTTCTTGATACTTTTCACATTCTTTAGATGCTATGGGTAGAAATGGAGAATGGGAGTAATTTACAAAACTCACTTAAATAAATGCTTTTTTTGGCCTTTATTAATAAGTAATATATTGAGTTCCATGTATTTTTGTCCTTTCCCTGTATGCTGGTGAAGAAGATTACAAAGGCTACTTAACGATGGGCTCAGTGGCTCACGCCTGTAATCCCAGCACTTCAGCAGGCCAAGGCTGGTGGATCGCCTGAGCTCAGGAGTTTGAGACCAGCCTGGCCAACATGGTGAAACCCTGTCTCTGCCAAAGATACAAAAATTAGCCTGGTGTGGTGGTGCACACCTGTGGTCCCAACCACTCAGGAGGCTGAGGTGGGAGAATCACTTGAGCCTGGGAGGCAGAGGTTGCAGTGAGCCGAGGAAAGGCCACTGCACTCCAACCTGGGTAACAGTGAGACCCCTGTCTCACAACAAACCAACAAAGAAACCCAAAGGCTACTTAAGAGGGAAGAAAAAAGGAGATAGAGAAGGGGTGAGGATATATGTGGCTCCAATTCTGTACTCGCCTTTGTGGTATTTTAAAGCTATGTACAACTCCTTGCTCCTATAAGATAGTAGAAGAAAAAAAAGATAATACTATGTGAACAATAAGAATAAAATAAATAGTACATTATTTTAATTATTATGCTTTTAAATAAAGCACATAATTTGGGGTATGATAACTACATGCAAATGATGTTGATGTAAAACATTTTAAAAAAACTCAGAGTACAAAACAGTATTTTCTTATGGTTGAGATTTTTAAAAAACCATCCTTTACATAAAAATTGCTTAGAGAAGAATGTTTAAATAAAATAAGGTTTTCTTTGGATTCAGCTTTTTAAATTAAAATCATGTAAACATGACAGCCGTTTCAGTTTTTCAGATGACCTTTGTTCATCTGTAGCATGTTTCTCTAGAAGCTTTAGGGACATTTCTCTAAGCAGCTATCAGAATCTCCCAGTGTGAATGTTGCTGTTAGATTGTGACCACCTTCTAATCTGGGAGTAAGATAATTAACTCCCACAGTAATGGGTGGCAGATACCTGTTGGATTATTACAACACGTGTGTGTACATGTATACACATGTTAAACTGTAGTAAAAGACATGGAGATTAACAGGATTGCCTGCATCTCATTTTGCATTATGTATTATTGATAAGCATTCTTTTCTCTCCTTTCTTCATCAGCATAGCCTTAACTGATGCCAAGGCTTATTTTTCTTCATGTTGTAAGGTCCATAGTTTTACAATTAAATATGAATAAATTTATTTACCTACCAGATAGTCTTGGTTTTTATTAGTCTCATCTAAAGATGAAAAAGAAAAAGAAAGAATCAGAGGTTAAGTGCTTAAGACTGGGTCCCAAGTGTTTCCTCTTCCTCATCTCATCTGAGAGGTATGCCATGTTTATTTTTATTATGTAGCTCACATCAGAGCATCCTGTACTTCCTTCATAACATTAATCACATTTGTCATTGTTTCCCTGCTAGACAGCTCCAAGAAAGAACTGTCTAGAAAATTGCCTAACCCGGCCAGTGCCTTTGCTTCTTGGCTAATATTAATTTCCTTGTTTATTAAACTTGCCTAAGGTAAGTTAGGAAGTAGCATTGCATTATGGCAGGAAGTCAGATCTTTTGCTCTAAAGCCTAATACTCCTATTCTGTACTCTCGGTAGGTAAATACTTTTCAAGCCTTAGATTCATTTTCAATCAAGTCGCTCTGCTTAGTCAAGTCCGAACATAAAGATAATCTTTTAAACTTTGCAGATATCTTAAGGTACTGAAGGCTGTAGTAGGGTTACTGTCAAGAATGCATGTTAGTCATTAAGTTTCATTTCTTATTTTGACTGATGAGTGACGCCATTATAAAAAAAGCTACACGGTTTTTGTCAAGCATTAAAAGTTGTGGGCTTTGGGGTGACTGGCTCTTAGCCTGGTACACCCTAAACACTCTAGTTTACTTCTGTATAATGGTTTAGTTGTGCTTGCTTTTGTTCTTTTAATCTCTAGGTTTCTCTTCTTTTTTGTTGTTGGTTTTTTTTTTTTTTTGGAACTGATTGAAGAAACCTGGCCATTGGTTGTGATTTTTCCATAGTCCGGCTTTTGCTGATTGCATCCCTGTAGTCTAGTTTAACCTGTTGCTCAGTCCTTTTTATTTCATGGAGATTGATAGCTGCATCTGGTGGCTTGGGGGAGGGGGCAAGACTATTCCCTGGGAGTGGTATGTTCTACCATCAGGACACACATGATGTCAGTTGTTTCTCATTTTGTGATGTACATAGCAATTGACGCTAGATCCAGGAACTCATTAAGGACTGCCAAATGATAATCATCCAATCTATCTTTCCTTTTCTAACTGGACTGCTTCTATAAGGACATAGCTTCCCATCCTCTGCTATTTGGTTACCATGTGGTATGGTTCATATGGGAAAAGTAGAATAATTCATTCTCTTTATGTATTTAGCAGTTTTAAAAATAGGATCCTTTAATGGTAACCAATTAGATTTAAAAACAAATTGCCCTTTGGAATTCATGCATTTAATTACATTTCATATATTTCAGTCCATTTTCGACATACCCCTTATTGATGCTATCTTTGACCAGTTGGAGCCTGTGCAGTGCTGGCTCCTGAACTACTTTCTGCTTGTTATGAACAAGATGTTTCAGGATCTTCTTGTACATATCCTGCCCCAGGCCTGGAACCATTGATTTCTCCCAGGTGCTCTGGTTTCTTTTAGTTTTAAAATGTATTTTAAGAGCACCTCCTGGCTACTCAGTGTTGCTACTGGTGGGTCTGTCTTTCTAGGCCTTTGGACAGAGTTATGAAATGCATATACTTTTAAAAGATAAAAACACCTCCTGAGTTCATGCTGATATTTTCCATTGAACTTTGTGGCTACTGGGTTTTATTTACTTAACTCTTCTATCTAAAATCTTTATCTACTTTCTGACATGGTGAGAATCATGGTTCTCAGGGACATCATCTGTGATAAAATTTTAGAATCTCGTGTAGTCAGTTATTTTATGCAACATTAAATACACAGCTATTAGAATAAGAAAATCTTAAATATTCTATATACCATGTATAGTTATGATTATGTTATTATTTTCTTATCTACACACATCCTTATTTAGTTTGGAGCCTCTCTTAGTATGTTGGATCTTCTTTTCCTGTCTTCTGTATTTGTACTTTTTAATTCTTTTCATCTTTTTTCTTTTTGATTTTTAGTATTTTTCCTTCACTGCAACCTCTTTTTATGTAACATTATCTGGTGTATATTCATTTTTGTGTACCCTCTAATTTAGACTTCATTTCTGAAGTGATTTTTTTTCCATTTACTTCAAATGTTTAACTCAGAATTCTGACTTTTTCTTCTGATTTATAGCTTGTTTACCTTATATCATTTTCTTCATGTCTTTTCTCATGTGTTGAGACCGTAGATTCTAGCTTCCTTCTGTTTTGTCGGCTTGTCTTTCTGGCACATTTCTGACCATCAGGGTGTCATTCTGCTGCGTGTGCCATAGTCCTCTCTGTTGGTCATTCTTACGTGAAATCACTTTCCCTAAACTTGTGGCAGGGCAGAGTGGTTCTGAATACTCTTTCCAGATTTATGGCTCTAAAGTTCTCCCTATGCCATGTTTATGAAGTGGTAAAAATAGAGCCTAATTTTTCCTGAGATTTCCTGGGTTTTTCTCCATCTTTTCCCCGTTTTTTTTTGTGGAATCACCTTTTCTTATACTTAGGGTCTTTTCAACTGACTGCGGTAGTAGTTGTTACTTTTATTCGTAGCCTTTCTCTGTAATACCGGGCTTTGTCCTGGAAAGGAACTGTGACTGCTTAATTTTGAGTGTTTGTAGGCCCCATTAAGCTCTAGCTCCTTAAGAATTTACCACAAATTCATGAATTACCATGAGTCATCTGCAAATGGGAGTGTGTAAAATCCTGACCAGTTTCAGTGCTATTATCAAGTGGGCCTACTGTGCTTTCCAGCGAGTCTTTGTTGGGCATTTTACCCTCCTATACTCTCTGTTCCATTAGTATCTGTTGTGCCTCTCTGTCTTCTGTAAGGGTCTCGATACCAATCAGGATTGTAGCTCTCAGAGATTTGTTCTCACCTGCTCAAATTTTGGGATACATAGGAGTTCGCATGACCTAATTTTGTTGTACTGTGTATGTTGTCCAAAGGCATTTTGCTTTATTTGGTATTCTTCCAGTAACTCTATCTAGTAGGTTTGGGGAGATTTAAAAACTATGTTACCGTCATAATCATCCCATCTCACAACAATCTTGTGGTTTTTCTTTAAAAAAAAAAAAAAAAGCGTGGTGGGGGTGGGGGCGCGGGGTGGGCACAGTGGCTTGTGCCTATAATCCCAGCACTTTGGGAGGCTGAGGTGGGTGGATTGCCTGAGGTCAGGGGTTCGAGACCAGCCTTGCCAACATAGTGAAACCCTGTCTCTACTAAAAATACAAAAAATTAGCTGGGCTTGGTGGCAGGCACCTGTGCTCCCAGCTACTGGGGAGGCTGAGGCAGGAGAGTCACTTGAACCCGGGAGGCGGAGGTTGCAGTCAGTCAAGATTGCGCAATTGCACTCCAGCCTGGTCAACGAGTGAAACTCCGTCTCAAAAAAACAAAAAAACAAAAAAACAAAAAAAAAGACGGTTGCTAAAGGCACAGGCTATTTTCTGAAGTTTAAAAGTGGAGCCAAAAGCAAATAATTCCTTCTGACAGAGGTAAATCAAAGGAGTGTTCTCCATGTTGTGTACTACACTGGACACATCAGAATAAATGGCAGTATCATCTTCAAACACAGGATTCTTTTTTTTTTTTTTTCTTTTGAGACGGAGTCTGGCTCTTTCGCCCAGGTTGGAGTGCAGTGGAGCGATCTCGGCTCACTGCAAGCTCCGCCTCCCGGGTTCACACCATTCTCCTGCCTCAGCCTCCAGAGTAGCTAGGACTACAGGCGCCCACCAGGATGCCTGGCTAATTTTTTTTGTATTTTTAGTAGAGACGGGGTTTCACTGTGTTAGCCGGGATGGTCTCAATCTCCTGACCTTCTGATCTGCCCGCCTCGGCCTCCCAAAGTGCTGGGACTAGAGGTGTGAGCCACCGCGCCAGGCCAGGATTCTTAACATAGCAAGACTTGGGTTGCAGTTTAAAAAAGAAATTCCGGCCGGGCGCCATGGCTCACGCCTGTAATCCCAGCACTTAGGGAGACCGAGGCAGGCAGATCACGAGGTCAGGAGTTCGAGACTAGCCTGGCCAACATAGTGAAACCCTGTCCCTACTAAAAATACAAAAATTAGCTAGGCATGGTGGCGCACGCCTGTAGTCCCAGCTACTTGGGAGGCTGAGGCAGGAGAATCACTTGAATCTGGGAGACGGAGGTTGTGGTGAGCTGAGCTGAGATCGGGCCACTGCACTCAGACTGGGGAACAGAGCAGGACTCTCTCAAAAAAAAAAAAAAAAAAAAAAAAAAAAAAAAAAAAAGAAATCCCACAAGTAGAATTTGTGGCCATTTGAAGGATTTAAGTCTCAGATCCTCATAATTAATTGAATTCTTAGGGACTAATAATTCTCATCTCTGTAACAAAATAGGAGAACTTATCTGTTCTGAATGTTTGTTCCATCTAATTGTGATGGTATTTAACTTGGCGGAGTTCATAGCAGTAATCATTAGTTGTCACAATATCTCCCCAAGAAAGAGAGTTCCGAGTCTTTTTTTCCCCACATTCTTTTAATTTTCCTTTTTAAAAAACTGCTGATGTTGGCTCCTGCCTGAAATGCCAGCATTTTTGGAGGCTGAGATTGGGGGATCGCTTGAGAGTAGGAGTTTGAGAACAGCCTGAGCAACATATTGAGACCCTATCTCTACAAAAAATCTGAAAAATTAGCCAAGCATGGTGGTGCGTGCCTGTAGTCTCAGCTTCTTGGGAGGCTGAGGGAGGATCGCTTGAGCCCAGGAGATCAAGGCTGCAGTGAGCTGTGATTGTGCCACTGCACTCCAGCCTGGGAGACAGAGTGAGAACCTGTCTCAAAACAAAAACAAAACGAAACAAAAAAACCCTGCAAGTCTTATATCCAAGAAGGTAGTAGGGAAGGTACTGTAAGTTAGATAATCACTGCTAAGATGTTTTGAATATTTCAGATATTTAAAAACCATGGCTGGGCGCGGTGGCTCACGCCTGTAATCTCAGCACTTTGGGAGGCCGAGGCGGGCGGATCACAAGGTCAGGAGATCGAGACCATCTTGGCTAACACGGTGAAACCCCGTCTCTACTAAAAATACAAAAAATTAGCCGGGCGCGGTGGCGGGCGCCTGTAGTCCCAGCTACTCGGGAGGCTGAGGCAGGAGAATGGGGTGAACCCGGGAGGCGGAGCTTGCAGTGAGCCGAGATTGCGCCACTGCAATCCGGCCTGGGCTAAACAGCGGGACTCCGTCTCAAAAAAAAAAAAAAAACCATACCCAAGATAAACTTCTTTAACAAGCTCCAACATTTTGGCATGGAAAATATTAAAAGGGTCAGTCTGAAATCAAAATATGTATATGTGGTTAAGTCTGATTTTTGATTAACGATGAAACTGCCCCTCTGATTTAAAGCTATATTTATAAATTTGATTTAATGATAATATGAAATTCTATGGATGACCTCATTTGGGAGCTAAATAAGCACAAATAAATTTTGGCCTATCAGCGAAAACATTTTACATTTTTAGAAACTGGAGGATATTTTGTGATGTTTAATCATTGTAAAATGGAAACAAATTAGTCATTTTATCATGAAGAAGAAAATGCCGTAGTAAGTTGAGGGTTATGTGTGAAGATAAGCACAGGCAATAGCAGCTTCTCTTTTCAGTTTAAATGTCTGTAAATGCTAAATTATAGCTAGCACATATGAATTAATCAGTTTTGTGTAATTTGAATAGGTATCATAATAAACTTTTGAAAGTTATTTAACAGTAATATTAAATATTTATAAAATATTTTTATGCTTAAGATGTTAGCCCTCGTTTTACACATTATAAATCAAGAAGTAAAGGATGAAGAATCATGTAACAACAAAATCAGTGACAAGTGAAATTTAAACTTTGAATCACTGACTTTCCCAGTATGAGACCATGTGCTGTGGTTCACACCTGTAATCCCGGCACTTTGGGAGGCTGAGGCAGGTGGATCGCTTGAGCTCAGGAGCTTCAAAACCAGCCTGGGCAACATAATGAGACCCCATCTCTACAAAAAAAAAAACCACAAAATTAGCCGGGTGTGGTGGTGTATGCCTGTAGTCCCAGCTACTCAGGAGGCTGAGGAGGGAGGATGGCTTGAGCCTGGAAGGTTGAGTTACGGTGAGCCATGATTGTTCCACTGTGCTCCGGCCTGGGCAACAGAGTGAGACCCTGTCTCAAAAAAAAAAAAAAAAAAATTTCCCAGTATGATTCATAACTCATTGTCATGTTATTTCTCTAGATGCCGTGTCTATTTTAGTATCCATTAAAAACAAGTTACATATATCACTTCCTTTTCTTCTTTAATCCAAACAAATTAGTCACATCTGATTTGGACTATTATGACTTGGCTTTAGAGGTTTATAATTATTTTAAGTAATGGTTATAAGATAGTTTAAAGACATACTGTTGAAATAAGTACAGATTTTATACTAGTCTCTACTGGCATTGTTGGCTAGAGTGTGTGATTGAGGGAGGTTGGCTTGTTAATTATGGACTACTAGAAAAAGCAATTGAAGTATTGGACCTATATGTTTCCTTCCTGTCTTGGGCAACTTTAATTTTGTGTTTCTAGTGGTGATTACACTGTGAGTAGTATGATTAAACTAGCATTGGATTGGTAGACTAGTCCCACTCAAGTGAATGTTTCAGGTTAGGGCATCAATTAATTACTTGCGTTGCTTACTTTACGGTCAGACCCCAGTTAGAAAATGTGACCTCTGACCTCTTGTGACATGTTTGGCATTGACATTTCTGAGTTCTCCTGGAGTTCTTCCTGTCGCTACAGATATACATAAACGCAAACTGTAAGTCCTCATCACGTGCAGGTTGCGTGTGAAATTTCAACTAGGTACACATTATTTCTTTAACTTTTTGAAAACACTTTCCAGGAACTGTTTATTTATGTAAGTTAAATTTTGCTATGTCTCACTGTCAATTTCTCTTCCTTCACTGGAATTATTGGAGAGGAAGAGAATAGCCATTGCCTAAGTTACTTCTTTGGAAATAAGTTCATTAAAAAACAACTGATTAGTATTATACTGTTTATGTAATCCCAAGGATTCTCCACAGAATTGCCTGTTGTATTCTCATTTCCATCTATATTGATTGTTTCTTACATATCTTATTATGAAACCAGATTGGCAGGTATACTGTTATTATTGTATACAATAATGGCCTTACAGAAGAAGTAACTGATTCTGAATAAGTAGAGTCCACAGTGAGTTTTTTCCAGCATGCCAAATTCTTAGGACATTCACCTTGCCTTGGGTTGTTGTCTAGCTGTTTTCATGTATTTCACATTTCTTTGCATGTCTATGAAGAAAAACATACAAGGCACATAAAATAATAAGGCGGTAGTACCAAATAACAGGAGAGGGTCAGTACCACAGATTGGAGTCTATCAGTTTACAACACTATAGACCTTATTTGAGGGGACAGTCACTGTGAGAATGCTTGGGATGCCTTGTGAAGGGTACAGAAATAGTCAGGCCTTGATATTTCGATGGGATTCGACAAGGCAGAGAGGCGAGTCAAAGCATAGACTGTCTGGATCAAGCAGAGGGACTGTAGGGCTTAAGGGAAAGTGGATAAAAAGGCAGAAAGAGTTAGACCAGCAGGGTCTTTAATGCTAGCATTGAAATTTTTATCCTGTAGCGAGAGGGGAATAGCAAATATTTTTTGAATGTAGAAATGGTAAAAGTAAAACACAGTCATTTTTTTCCACCGCAGCTGGATTGACTCGAGTCTGTCTGCTCTTCTCTGTTCTGGCCTGGGTTTTCATCCTTATGACTTTCTTGCCTGTTTTTCCAGCCCCTAGCTTTGCTAGTCTCTGTTTCTTCCCATCGTTGGTGTTAGAGATGCTTTTCAACAACATCATCAGATTGGTCCACTGTTGCAAACGTTTTCCTGCTGCCCGTGAAGTCCACATTCCCATGCATAGGTGTTGCTGTCTCGCCCTGCCTCTTCTGCACACCCTCCTGCAACTCCCCACTCTCCTTAGGCTCCGGCTGGGCTCTCGCAGGCCCTCAGATCTGCGTTTCCCATGCTCTGCCTTGGGACGCCCTTCCCAGACTCCTCCTTCAGGTGTTGGTGTTATCTCCTGACACCTTTAAGTCAACCTAATTCTGTCAGTTATTTTTCTAAATTTTAGGTCTGGTTATGCTCTTAAAATTCTCTTTTGATTTCCTCATTATTGATAAAGTCCAAATACCTGAGCAAGGCATTTGTACAAAGCTCTTTACAGTGAGACCCTGACGTTTCTTCTTTTCATACCCAGCGTCTCCCTACTCAGTGTTCCACCTGATGAGACTATTCTCAATTGCCTGAGCACTTTATGGATTCTTCATTTTGTATTTTTCCTTCATCAGTGGACAAAATCATACCCATTCTTTTAGGATCCAACTCAAATCTCCTTTGAGATTTTTGAGACATTCCTTATTCAAGCCCATTTTCCTTTCTCTTTGTTCCCTTAGTAATATATATATAGATATATAATTTGATTTCATTATTTATTAGTCTCTTAGGATCTTTGAAGAGCATTCTGCTTCCTTTTGATGGTGAGCACCTTGAGGGTAGGGTATATATATTTTCTATCTTTGTATCTTAGTGTGAGGAGTAGTAATTGGAACTTTAATAATATTCAGCTGTGTAAACTGTAGAAGTGGTTTGAAGGAGGGTTATAATAATTGATAACATTAAATAGTCATTATTTTGTGAAAAGCACTGTGCTTTATATAATTATTTAATTTTCACAACAACTGTGTGAGTTATGTTGTGATGAGTCCCCTTTTGTTGATAAAGCTTAGGAAGGTAAAATGGATGGCCCAAAGTTGGTGGCAGAACTAAAATTTTCATATAGATCCATCTGATATTGGAGTCCAAGCTCTTAACCATTAAATGTTTCCTTCCGGCATTTTTTAATGGATTTGTATCTTTGCAAACTTTGAAGTTTTCAAAACATGATCATCTGCATGGAACTAACACATTATCTCATTTCATCCTCACAACAACTGTGAAGTTTAAATTAGCCCCACCTTATAGGTAGGGAATGTGAGGCTATCAGGGTAAATTATTTATCCCAGGTCACGTGTTGGAATTGGGAAGAACCAAGTGCTTCAGGATGTATTCTGAAAAGTTAAAATGGCTGCAGTGATGAAGGAGCCCTAACAATGCTGTTGTAGGTTTTGAAGTGTATTGCTCTTTGTTCCATGCAATTTTGAAATATTTGTTTGCCATGAAATATTTTGTTTTATTTCTAAAAGTAACATAAATATATTACAAGATACTTGGAAAATAGAAAACAGAAAAATAACCCTCTGTAATTTCTCTACCCGAATTCAAATCAGATACTCATTTTGATTTTTTTTCCCATTCATTTTCCTACATGTGGTTGTTGTCTCAGCATCATTCAACCTTTTTCCATGTCATTGCTTGGCCACCGTAAGTTATTATCTGTAGTGGTTGCACAATGCACAGTGTTTCATCTGGCGAGACTGCACTGTAATATGAGCTGGGCAGGAGGAGAAACAAGATGAATGAATATTTGTTATATGACTTACGTTATCTTATTTACCCTCAAAACAACAGCATGGGGTTGACTTTACTAATTTTACTTCATAGATATGCAAATCGAGATGCAGTGAGGGTAAGTGACTTGTCCAAAGTTATGCAGCTAGTCAGTTGCAGAACAGATCTGTGTGACTTTGCAGGCCATGCTTTTCCACTCTGCTTTCACGGTGCCTGTATGTGTCATCTGTTAAATTCTTATAACAGCACTACATATTCCAGTTATACAAATGAAGAATGAGGCGAGAGCTTAGAGGGGGTGAAGTGTGCTAAGTAGCAGGAACTACTTATTTAAGTATTAAGTGTGAGGCACTGGACTACATTTTGCATCCGTGATATCATTTGGCTCCTCCTGCAGCCCTGTAGTATTGTCTGCCTTCTGACCATCATGCTGCCAGTGTTACAGTCTAGAATAACTTGAATGTTTTCAAGTTTTTCATTGTGCTCCATATCTCTTTGTACTTTTTCCCCGTTTTGAATTATTTCCTTGCTATGGACACTCAAGATGTCTTCAGTTTCCTTCCACCATAAATTACTATGACTTGCCCGACTTTTCAGTACCACAGATGACACTACAAGGAATTTGTTGGTCTGTCTGTCCAGAAAGAGAAATTCCTCCCTGATTTCAGGGTATGCACACAGGTGCCTAATCTGACTGAGCTCTCAAGAAGGGCCACCTCCGTCTTCGTGCTGGGTAGCGCTGTGCACAAGGGGTTTTATTTTCCTGCGTATCTGCATTTGCTTAGTGCTGTTCAGTTGCCCACATTTTGTCACTTGGATGTTTGAACTTGGCATTTCTTTATCTGTTAATGAGTTTAGGCAGCTCTTGGTGTTCTTATAAGGTTTTGGGTTTCCTCTTCTGTGAGTCCCTGTTACTCTCTGCTTGTTTTCCACTGGGATATTGTTACCTTTTTCTGTTGATTTACACGGGGTGCTCTTTATTCTAAACATTAATTCCCTTATAGGTTTTATGCTTTGTAAACTTCTTTTCTCATTCTGTCATCTGTTTATTTAACTTTTTCCATAGTTTTATTTCTTGAACAGAAATTTTAAGTTTTGAAATGATTGTATTCAATCTCTTCTGCCTAATGTCTTATGCTTTTGAAATTTTATTTTAAGAAGACCTTATCCTGAAGGAGGCCACAGAATATTCCCTACATTTTCTTTTACTAATTGTATAGTTTTATCATTATCAGATAGGTCTGCAATCCATCTGTAGTTCCCTTTTTATGTGGTAGGTAAGGATCTACTTTACCTTATTATCTTATGTTTCACTCCATAGTAAGTCTGCCTTTTGCTTTGGGATTTAAACTTGAAAATCAAAAACTCTTTTGGGAGATATTTTAGGGGCCCTTACAGCATTCCATATAGTTAAATTATTTATTAGCAGTACCGTTACTTGTGTGCCCTCTGACCCTGCAACCTCTGTATGGAGTAAGGATCTCTTTTGGATATGGGGTATCCCAAACACCTAGAACTAGTGACTGGCATGTGACATTCACTCAACAGTCTTCAATGATATTTGTTGAGTGCTAGGTGAATGTAGGCTTTTTTTCCTGCAGCTAGTTAGTCATTCTAACAAAAAGCTTGAAATCGTTAATAAAACCAGACTAATAGCTCTGCTGTTAACCAGCTGTGTTTCCTTGAGGAAGTCATTTTCTTTCCTTCCTCTGTAAACTAATGACCTGTGCAACCACCATCTCAATTAAGATTACAGGAAGTTTTTATCACCCCAAAAGTTCTTTGTACTCCTTTGTACTGCCTTCTGCTCCCTTCCATCATTGATTTGCCTACGGTCACTGTGATTAGCTTTGCCTGTTTTAGAATTTTATTTGAATGGAAACATATTATTTTCCATGATAATCTTTTCTTGGTTAGCATGTTTTGTGATTCATTTGCTATGTATATTGGTAGTTCATTTGTTTTCATTGCTGAGTAGTATTTCATTGTGTGGATATACCACAAATTAAAAAATTCATTAATCTACTGGAGGGATATTTGGGGTGGTTTTTTTTTAGTGGGGAGATAGGGTCTCACCCTGTTAACCAGGATGGAGTGCAATAGTACAATCTCAGCTCACTACAGCCTCAACCTCCTGGGCTCAAGCAATCCTCCCAATTCAGCCTCTCGAGTAGCTGGGACTACAAGTGGATGCCACCACGCCTGGCTAATTTTTGAATTTTTTTTTTGGTAGAGTCGGGGTTTCTTCATGTTGCCCAGGCTGGTCTCGAACTCCAGGGCTCAGGCGATCTACCCACCTCAGCCTCCCAAAGTGCTGGGACCCAGGCTGGTCTCGAACTCCTGGGCTCAGGCAGACTACCCACCTCAGCCTCCCAAAGTGCTGGGACTACAGGTGTGAGCCACCACGCCTGGCTAGTGTTTTCCATCAGGAGGCAATTATGGCAAAACTACAATATCCTTTCATGTACAGGTGTAGGCATACGTTTTGAGAACTACCTAGGAGTGGAATTGCTAGGCTATGTGATAAGTGTATGTTTAACTTTATTAGAAATGGCAAAACTATTATCCAAAGTGACTGTTTTACATTTCCAGCTGCAATCTATGAGAGTTCCAAATTTTCCACTTTCTCTCCAACACCTGGTATTGTCAGTTTTTAAAAGTTCGAGTCATTCCGCTCGATTTATACTAGCATCTCATGGTGGTTGAAATTTGCATTTCCCTGATACAAGCATATTTTAATGTGCTTACTGACCAATTATAACTTCTTTCACAAAGTATTCAAATCCTTTGCCCATTTTTTTATGGAGTTAGTTTATTTCAGTATTACTGAAGTGTTATAGAGCTCTATATATATTCCAGATACAAGGTCGCTCACAGACCTGCATGTCTAGAGTTCTGGAGGGATGTAATGGAGGAAATGAGGAACAATCAACATTTATAGAGATACTGGCTAAAAACTTTCTGAAATTATTGAAAGGTACTAATACTCATTCCAGGAAGCCCATTGCAGACCAAATTTAACATGATATCCACATTTAGCTGTATTGTTTAAAAACTGCAGTATTTACTAAGGGGAAAGAGAAGATCTTAAGTGTTGCCAATAGATTTTTTATGAGACATCGTGTATACAGATGTGGTAGTTAGACTCACAAACTGACTTCTGAACTGCAATACTGGAATACTGCAAAACTGAAATAATAGCTTCAGTGTGTGTTAAGAGACAGTAACTCTCAGCCTAGATTTATTTACCTTTCAAGGAGGAGGGAGATTCAAATAAAGACTTTTGTAGACAAATACAATCTGAGAGAAAAGAAGTTCTCAGTGGCTAACGTCAGGCAGAAAAAAATGATCTCAAGTGAAAGTTCTGAAATACAAGAACGAATAATGAGCAAAGACTTGATAAATATGTGTTTAAAATTAAAACATTAACTGTAAAAAATAAAAATAATGTTCAAGTTGTGAAAAAAATTAGGCTGGTGCCACCATAATAGTGATCATTCACAGTAGAATGGATAGTCATATATTTCTATAACAGACTATTATACTACAGTAAAAATAAACTATAGCCTCACACATCAATATGGGTTAATTTCAGATACATAATATTAAGAAAGTAATCAAATTACAAAAGAATACATGCAGTATGATTCCATTTCTGTAAACTTCAAAAACAGACAACACTGCACAGCATGTTTTTAAGGGATAGGCATACATAGGGGCCAATAGCGTGAAGACACAGAAGGGGAAATGGTGAACACAAAATTAAGGACAGTGGTAACCAGCTGTGGGGGTGAGTGCCACCAGGATGGGCACATTCTAGGGGCTTTTGTCAGAGTTGGTTTCTGCTTTCTTTCCTAACATAGGAGGTGATTTAACTGGTGTTTGTCTTGTTCTTCACACTACACATATTTTAAAATAATTTCTTATATGTGTAATTTCTAAATAGAAAAATTTAAACCAAGAAGAAGTAAATGGGAGGCATGGAAGTTTGTTGGGGAAAATAGATGACACAGAAGGGTAAGGACAGCGGGTCATATAACTGAGAAGGATTAATTGTTCTGCATTGTCTAATCACTGTTGTACTGTTCCCTGATGACGTATATCTCAATCACAGTCAGGTCTATTGATGACCCATTCCACTGTTTTAGGTAATTCATTTCATTCAGCAGTAATTATCATAATTTAAGTCAGCTGTTTCTTTTTGGCTATTTCTCTTTTCTTCTACTGAAGACTTTTCTGTGCCAGATTATCAAAATGCAAAGAATATCCTAATCACATGGAAGTTACATTATTGACATGCTGTTCGCTTCTAAACATTTCTGGTAATACTACGGAAAATTTTTTCTGCTAAGTATTGTTGTAAGTAGAATTCTATTCAGTGTTATCAAGAGGAATTTTATATCGAAGTGAAAGAGAAGACCTAGTTATTTGGCTTTTAATTCTTTTTCTCCAACAAACTGGATAAAGTATATAATTTTATTATGACCATTTTTTATAATCGAGTTAAAAATGAAAATGGAAGTTTTTAAGATGTATATAATTTGAAAATACATGATATTACAATTTTTAACTACACAACTTATTTTGAAGGAAAATCCATTCAACAAAATTAGTAGGTTATACATCATAAAATTTGATAATCGTTGAAATTTTGTCTTAGAGTTGTGTTAATATAGATTGTGTACTAATATACTAAGAAGCATTGTACAAATAAAGTTAGATTTAGTTTGGGGCTAGTAAATGAATATTAAAAAGGAAAGTATAACATTTTAAATACTGGAATTCAATTTTAATATAAAAATTTGAAACATCCTGTTTCATTGTAAGACATTGATTAATTCATGTTTTCAACTGGCAAACAGAGAAAAAGGAGGGAAGAGAATGTCTGAAACTGGGGTAAGAGTAAAAGGGGAACTATTAATAGTTCTGCCAGTACAACATGTAAATGCAACAGTCCAGGAAGCACAGTCCCCCTTTCATCATGAAGAAAGAATGGAAGGTGGAGTGCTTTTAGTTCACGTGTGTGCCCACGTGCGCATTGTATTCATGTATGTGTATCAATACATACGCATGGAAGGTGGAGTGCTTTTAGTTCACGTGTGTGCCCACGTGCGCAATGTGTTCATGTATGTGTATCAATACATACGCATGGAAGGTGGCGTGCTTTTAGTTCACGTGTGTGCCCACGTGCACATTGTATTCATGTATGTGTATCAATACATACGCGTGGAAAGTGGAGTGCTTTTAGTTCACGTGTGTGCCCACGTGCGCATTGTGTTCATGTATGTGTATCAATACATACGCATGGAAGGTGGAGTGCTTTTAGTTCATGTGTGTGCCCACGTGCGCATTGTATTCATGTATGTGTATCAATACATACACATGGTATATTTCATTGGAACTTCTCTTTTTTTTCAAAAATATTTTGGGGACAATTAGAAAAAAGATACAGAATAGAAGAAGGTTATATATATCAGAAGGGGATGAGCAGGATGAGGAAGAGGAAAGCAAAGTTTAGTATATGAAATAGAGCCACAAGTAAGGCTAATATAAGAAAGACTTCTATACCTCTATAAAGTCCAACAGCCTGCTGAGGATGTGTTGCAGATTTGCCTTTCCGTTTTCTAGTAGCTAATGCAAAGGAGAAGCCTCAACATTTTAGTAATGTCCATAAAGCAAATCAGTTGCCTAGGTAAAGTGTAGCTACTTCTAATAGTACTAAAACCAGAAAGAAATCTTTAGGGTTTTCAGAAAGTTAACCATTGTCTAAGTTGCAAAGCTCGTGTCAGGTGGCAGAGTGTAGTCCTATGTCTTGAGAAGTCATGGTTGAGATTTCAGAGGCAATTTTAATTGAAATGTTATTGTTATGTAATAAACAATATGCCAAAACAGTACTCTGCTGTTACTTTTACTTTTTTCCAACTACAAAGGAAAGTGACTATCAAACTTACAATATATTTCAATTTCAGATGTGAAACAACTACATTATTCTTGAACCTATGGTGATTTTTACATCATTACACAGATATGTCATTTTCATTAGTTGTATCATTGTTATAAACTGGTAAGTAAGTTTTTAAAAAGTTGGTAAAATTTGGGGATAGGTCTAATTTAATAATGTAAAAAGATTCAAGCAAGCTGTAAAATATATAATTTATAATGGCCAAAATTGAGATTTTAAATTAAAAATATTTCCTTTTTATAAAATGGAACCAAAGTTAATAAAATAAGTAGTTATATATGTCACAGTAAAAATGTTATTTTCCCCCAAATGAAAACTTTGCCTGTTATTTGAAGGGGTATCTAGGTCTCTACCTAGCTTTAAAATTACTAAATGTTTTACTTTACCAGTTTAAATATGGTCACTGCATAAATAATAGAGATCAAAATCTAAAGTAATTATTTACAGTGTAACATTTGGGGTAATCATAATGGAGAACATTTTTAAAAAAAAAGTATAATACCTTTACTGTTAACAAAAATATAATTGAAAGGAAGGGATTTTTTGGTTAATCCCCATAAAATCTTTACACTGTATCTATATTCAGCAAATACTGTAAATTATTTTTAATTCAGAAATAAGGGAAATTAAGACTCAACAGTTTTGATTAAATAGAAATTATGAAAAGGGTTCATATTTTAGTGTTATGAAAACTAAAATATTTCACCTCTCGTTGGCATTTTTCCTAGAGTCACTGGAGGTCCATAAGAAGTATTTCTGTGCTTGATATTTAGACAGTGGGACAGAACTGAAAAGAAGGATTATTACACTCTAGCCTAGGACTTTACATACAAATAGGTACTTGCATATTGCATGTTCTTTCAACTCCCATGTGAGTGTTTTTATTAATTGTGTGCCATATATCTATTTGAAATATAGATTAGAGAGATGCAGGCGCTAGGATGATGATGTCTGGTGGACCACCAATTTCACATCACCTTAATCAAATCAGGAATTGACATGATTGAAGCTGGGCTTTTAGTGTGTATGCACACCAAGCTCTTTCCAGGTTAGCTTTAAGCAGAGTCTTTCAGGATCACAACCTAGTCCGTGGGTTCTTGCCAAGGCTCCCTTTCTTGGTGCACCTGAATTACAGTTTTTGTCTCCCTGTCCCCATGAGATTGTCAAAAGCTCTGCCTAGCTTCTGAGCCTCTCACTTGCCTTTTCCAGAATTGGCAGATGCTGCTAAATGAATTATTTTTTTAGTATTTTCTTTGGTTTTTCTAGTTTTCAATGGAAGGATTGATCTGAACAACCCAATAAATTATTATTGGTAGCAGAACTCTCTCTCTCTCCCTTCCCCCCTCGCTCGCTCTCTCTCCCCATTCCCCTTCCCATCCCTCCCTCCCTCACTCCCTCCCTCTCTTCCTCCCTCCCTCCCTCCCTCTCTCCCTCCGTCTCTGTCTCTTTCTTTCTGTGTATGCATGTACGTATGTATATGCATATATAATTTTAAATCTTATCCTTATTATATACACTGTGAGCATTTTCTCATACCATTGTTGTTTTTCTTGGAGACAGTGTCGCCTAGGCAGAAATGCAGTGGTGCAATCACAGCTCTCTTGCAGTCTTGACTTTCTGGGCTTAAGCGGTCCTCCTGTGTCAGCCTCCTCCTTGACTGGGACTACAGGTGCATGCCACCGTGCTTGGCTAATTTTTTAAAATTTTTTTTGTAGAGACGAGGTCTTACTATGCTGCCCAGCTGGTATCAAAATCCTGGGCTAAAGTGACCCTCCTGTCTCAGCCTCCTAAAGTGCTGGGATTATAGGTCTGAGCCACTGTGGCCTGCCACAACATTGTTTTTTGAAACATTAATTTTATTAACTGCATAGTATTCTATCAAGTGGATATACTTTAACTTATTTTACTAGTATTAACATTTAGTTCCTTTTTTTAACTATAAAATTTTATGATGTGGAAAACATTTTTTTCTTTTTTTTGAGACAGGGTCTTGTTCTGTCATCCAGGCTGGAGTGCAGTGGTGTGATCACGACTCACTGCAGCCTCTACCTCCTGGGCTCAAGCAATCCTCCCACCTCAGCCTCCTGAGTAGTTGGGACTACAGGTGTGCACTACCATGCCTGGCTAAATAAGAAAATACCTCAGATTTTCTAAAAAGGTCACCACTTCCCTGGCCCGTAGGAATGATGAATACACACCATTTCTTTTTCTAAAACACTCTAACAGAGGTTTTGGCAGGGAGGGAAGGGTTCAAGTTAGGGTTAGCTGAGACTACAGACATGTGCTGCCATGCCTGGCTAGGGTGTGTGTGTGTGTGTGTGTATAATATATATAAAAATATATATATAATATAAAATATATAATTATATATAATATATAATATGTATAAAATGTATATTATATATAATATATAACATATAATATGTATTATATATAACATATATACATATATGTGTATATATGTGTATATATGTATATATAACAATATATATTATATATACACCCTATATATATAATAATATATGTTATAATAAATATGTGTGTATATATTTATTTTTTAGAGACAGGGTCTTGCTGTATTGCCCAGGCTGATCTTGAACTGCTGAGCTCAAGTGATCTCACCTTGGCCTCCCAAAGTGCTGAGATTACAAGCATGAGCCACCACTTCCGGCTGGAAGCATTTTTCTATTAAGACATAAGTCTTGCCCCATCTCAAGTTATTTACTTAGAAATAGAATGGCTGTCAAGTGATAGGATTATCTGTAAGGCTGTTGATGTGTAATGCTGGACTGCTTTCTAGAAAGTGCTTTCAATAGCAGTGTGTTGAGGGTGGCTGTCTTGATGCCTCTTTACTACATTGAGAATAATTATTTTAAATATCTTGCTGATTTAAGAAGGAAAAATTGTTTTCCTGTTTTAGTTTCGCATTTTTAGAATATAAACTTTTTGTCATATTTGTCATAAATGTTTTTCCATTTTATTGTTTTCTTTTAATTTACAAAATGGAAATTAGTGATAATTGCTTCAGAGGCCAGAAAAAATGAGTTTCAGATGTTTGTGTCATAAAGAAATTCAACATTTCTAATCTAGTCAGGTATTTTGCATCTCCTCCTGTTATACTTCCATAGCTTTTATACTCATAAAGTCTTTTGACAGCAAGATACTAGATCAATATTCATTTAAATTTCTATCTCAAATTTTATGATTCTGATGTTTTCAGTCCTCTGAGCCAGTACACTGAGCCAGTAGGGGGCCATAAGGTACTGAAATTGGGGGGCAGTCCTAAGTCTTAAGGTGTTTATCCAGATTACCTAGAATACACTTAAAATAAATTTATGTTACCATCAACATTGTAAAAGGCCTCTGGACTCCACAGTGGTGTGAACTATTTATGAGGGACAAGAAGACATCACAGGCATTTGTTATGTTTTTCATTGATAGAAAACACATCACTGCATTCTGTGGTGGTTCGTTCTTCCACTGGTTGTGGCTGTTTTTATACTGTTTTTATTAATGTGCTCATTTTCCAATATATTCATTTCAAATGAGATGGCAGAAGTTTCTGAGATTGAATCATTGTTAGAAGGCTTAAAAGTAGGTAATTACTTTCAGGAAATTATGACTCATGAGATTTCTTACTTTTGTAAAAATGTTAAATAATCAGTGGCTGTTACCATGAAATACACACACACACACACACACATTATATATATATGTATTCGTCTTGGAACTTTCAGAATGATCTCGGGGAGGGGATCATCTCAGGCCTGTGGCTTGGAGGCACTTGAGTACTCAGCGTCCCATGGAAGCTCGCACCCTGGGAGAGAAGGGAGCGCTCTGGGGTGCCAGATGGTGGAAAGCTGTGGGAATGCAGTGGGGTGCGAGAAAATGAGGAGGAAGTTATTGAAAAAGTTCAGAGAAATTGAATGTATACTTTAATATTAGACATTTACATGCCATTTCCTGACCTGCGGTATTAAGTGAAATTAAAATAGCAGACTAGAAGGCCACTTATCAGTGTATCTCAAACCCAAATTGTTCTGTTTTCTCTTTATTGGAAGAAGAAAAGTTCTTGTTATAGATTAAGCAGTTATAAGAAAATGAGAGACCTGGAGTATCCTTTATCTGAATGCTAACAAATATGTTTTCACATGATGCAAACCTGCCTGAGTACTTGATGATCTAAGAAAATGAATAATGAATTGGGACCCATTGTTACATTTGAGGTATTGTGTAAATCAGCCTTCAGAGTTTATTATTAATTCCAGAAAATCTTAAGCCTTATCAAATATATTTGGCCTGTAATACGCAGTAGGATCACAGTACTCCTCTAGTTACTTAATATTTACAGTGTTCTGGCTCGGTTCTAACCTTTTGCTTTACTTTTGAAGAAAAATAGGTATGAATTTCTTTGAACTTATTTCTTAAGAACATAACAATATATATTTTTAAAGAATAGAAGAGTGAGCAGGAAAACATAAATTCATCAGGTTTAGACATTACTTTATGAGCTTGTATTTCTTGACACAACCATTATAAATAATGAACACGTTAGCCCTTAGATGACACTTCTAATATATACTAGATCAGTTATTCTTTATTCTAATTTGCCTAAACTCAAAACTTTCCATCCAGAAAACAAAGTTATTGACTCCTTTGTTAGATTCTCAAGGTGCATCAGTATAGGAGGAAGCACTTAGTTTTGCGTTGTTGTCATTCGTGTGTGCTAGTTGCGACTCATCCTTCAGCCATACTCTCTCCTGACCTTCATCTGTGAAAGGGCTCCCTCATTCCAACCTGCTCTTCATGGCATACATCTTTTTTAGTCCCTCAAAGACCAAAGATAGAGAACGAAATGACCAGAATGTATTGTTTTCACTGACTTTATTTCACTTTAAAATAAGAAAGTTGAGCCCAACATGCTAGGACTAACAACAAAGCAGACCTCTTCTTGTGTTGTGTGTTAATCCATGCTCTATGGTTGTTTCTTAGTGGCTAAGAAAACCCATTGTGTGGTGAAAGTCTGTGGATAAAAATATATCAAGGAATAATAAAATGCAGTGCCATTAAAAAAAAACACTTAGCAAACTGGAAAGAAATGTCCTCAATAAAAGTTATGCATCAAAATCCTATAGCAAGCATCATATTTGCATTTATATTTATCATTTTATATTTATAAGATATGTTTACCAATAAGCATCCTCAAGAGTCATGTTTAATGGTGAACTGTTATAAGAATCCCCTACAAAATCTAAAACAAGATAAGGATACCCACTGTTACTACGTATGGTGTGCACTTTACTAGAAGTCCTAATCAGCTTGATGAGAAACAAGTCCAATAGAATTTGCAGACAAACCTGAAACTATAAAGAGAGGTAAGCAGACTGCCCAATAAATACCAGCAACCACCAACCAGGAAATACTATATAAAATAAAATTCCATTTTAAAAAAAAACAGTAAATGTAAAATATCTAGGAAAAACCCAAAAGATATGTACAAATCTTATGGATACAAATTATAAAACCATATTAAAGACATAGAAAAATATATAAATAAATGAGCATATGTACCAATTTCATCAGTGGATATTCTTAACTTGGTTATGGAGATTTAACTATTTTTGTGGATTTTGGCAAACTGACTTTAAAATTACTGTGGATGAATATGGGACCAAGAAGAGCCACAATGAGTCTGAAAAAGAAGGAGAGGAACTCCCTAAGGCTGGCAAGCTTACATGGGAGCAGGAAACTTGTATGTTCTGGAGGAATGGTAAATGGTAGCTACTTTTTTAAAAGTAAAAATCGTCTAGCTAATAGATACAAATGAAATTCCAAGGGGCATACTGTGGAAAAAAGTCTTCTCCCATCCCTTGTTCCCTGAGCCCCTCTCTGCAGTTTCTGGAAGGAATCAAGCTCTAGAACTCTTTTGTGCACATCAGTTATACAGTGTTTTGAAAAATAGTAGTGTCTTATACCACGATTTTTTTAAAAAAATGTAATATAGAGCTTATGTCATCTTAACACCTATAACATTGCTTCATTTCTTGTGAAAACTGTGTAATAATCCTTGGTACAGTTATCAGTTATTTAACCAGTCCCCTAAGATATATATTTACATTATTTCTAATTGTTTCTTGCTGCCAGCAATACTAAAATGAATTTCCTTCCTTGTATGTGTGTTATTTCACACATGCTGAACAATTGTGTGGTTTTGTTGTCCATATTTAAATCTGATCTATCTATAATTTATAGATACAATCTAAGGTAGGGCTCCCTCTCCTTTCCTAGGTTAGATAACCAGTTGTCCCAATGTCCTGCATTGATTAATCAGTCTTTCTACCAATAATGTGAAATGCCACTTTTACTGTAATGAAAATTCCGATTTGTTCATCTTTTTTCTTTGCATCAGTAGAATTTCAGAATTTACACAAATTTTGTCATTCTATTTCTTCCTGGAAATTTTATTTTTCTTACTGTTGTTGTAAATAATTGAGTTTTGGTCTTCTTTTCAATCACCTGTCTTTTTGGTTTCTGTATATGAATGCTGTTAGTAAATTAGTTTGTACCCAAAGAATTTATTGAACTATATACTTAATTTAAATTACTTAAAAAAGCATATCAGCTGATTTTCTTGGGTTTTCTAGATACATGATTTGCAAACTCCTTATCAACTTTTATAACTAGTCCAGTTATGTTGGTTATTACCTTTGCAGAGTGTTAAGGAAAAGTGACAACCACAGACATCTTTGAATATTCTTGATTAGGTTACAGAAGTATTTACTCATTCTTGTTTTGTTAAGGGCTAGGTATTGAATTTTCCTAAATGCCTTTCAACGTGTTATCAAAATCTTCATGATAGTTTATTTTTGACCTGTTAATGGAGTAAACTATATTTTTAAATGTCTTCATATTAAATCTTCCTTCAATTCCTAGAATTAGTATATTATTTTGACATTGAATATATTAATATTTATATATTTGTATTTAATATTAGATTATATTCAAATATTTTATGTAGGATTTTTATATCACTATTTCTACAGGTCACTGATTTTCTTTGTCTATGCTGTTTTGTGGGGTTTTCTTACCATTACATGCTAGATTCCTTGCTTTCCTATGATTGTGCACTGGAAGAGTTTGAGTCTCATTGGAGTTACCTGGTCATTATAAGTTTGATAGAAGTAACTTACGAATATGTCTGTAGCTGATGTTTTTCTGGGGAAGCTCTTCGCAAACTTCTTCTATTTATTTCTTTGGAAATTGGCCTTTTAAAGGTTCTGTTTTATTCTGTGTTCAGGTTTTGGTTATTTATATTTTCTTATAAAATCATAGTGTTTATATTTTTACACAGAACTGAACAAAGTAGTTGCTTCTATTTTAATTTCCTTTTTATATATAGCTGTCTCCCTGTAGCATTTTTTTGTATGTTTGTGCTTTGTGTCTTCACTGTGAATTAGATTAGGTAATGATACCTCTTTTATTTTTCCCTAAGAAGGAGTTCTTGGGCCAGGCATGGTAGCTCATGCCTGTAATCCTAGCACTTTGAGAGGCTGAGGTGGGAGGATGACTTGAGGCTGAGAGTTTGAGACCAGCCAGGGCAACATAGTGAGACCCTGTTTCTACAAAAAATTAAAAAGTTAGTCAGGTGTAGTGGTGTGTGGCTGTAATCCCAGCTTCTCAGGAGGCTGAGGTGGGAGGAGCACTTGAGGATGGGAGGTCAAGCCTGCAGTGAGCCATGATTGTGCTATTGTACTGCAGCCTGGGTGGCAGAGTGAGACCCTGTACAAAAAATAAAAAATAAAAAAAAAGGAGTTCCTGGATTCTACACATTTTCTTTTTTAACAGCATTGCTTTAGCTTTTCATTTAGATCTTTTGTAATTTTTAAGTAACTTTTTTTTTTTGACTCGGTGGTTGTTTATGAGGGTTTTCTGGTTTTGTTATTAATATCTGGTTTAATTTCACCATGATTAACAATGGCGTGTATAACTTTTGGAATCTCTTCAAGTCATCTTTGTGGTGATTTTGTGGTCAGTTGTTATGTATGTCTTCTGGACCTATTAAAGGTGTTTTTTTGGTGTCAGGATAAATCAATAGACCTGTCCTAAGGTTGTTTTTTTTTTTTTTTTGTTTCAGAATAAATCAACTAGATAAATAATCAACAAATAAAAAATCAGGCCGGGCGCGGTGGCTCACGCCTGTAATCCCGGCACTTTGGGAGGCCGAGGCGGGTGGATCACCTGAGGTCACGACTTCAAGACTAGCCTGACCAACATGGTGAAACCCCATCTCTACTAAAAATACAAAAATTAGCCAGGCGTGGTGGCCAGCACCTGTAGTCCCAGCTACTTGGGAGGCTGAGTCAGGAGAATCACTTGAACCCAGGAGGCAGAGGTTGCAGTGAGCCGAGATCATGCCACTGTGCTCCAGCCTGGGCAACAGAGTGAGATTCCATCTCAAAAATAATAATAAATCAATAGCTCTGTCTTATTAGTTAGGTCTTCTATAGCCATACTTAGTTTTTTGTCCAGTTGACTTTTTTGTGAACTGAGAGAATTGAATTAAAATCTCATAATTTTATATTTCTGTCAGTATTTCTTTTATTTCCTATAGTTGTTTGCATTATAACTATGCTCTGTCTTTTTTAAGAATGATTTTTGCCTTGTTTTCCAAATCCTATACACTTCCATCTTGACCCCTGCTTCATTTAGGTAGCATTTTTATGATATGCTTTTTCCCATTTGTTTTCAGTCTTTCTGAGTCACTGTTTTTAAATTGTTGAGTTTAGCCCATTTGTATTTACTAAAAAGACAAACATGTCTGGTTTTGGTCTTCTCATACGTACTACGCCTTCTGTTTTTATCACTTTATCACTACGTAACACATTTTCTTTGAGTTTCTTCAGATAGCTTAGAAATGTTTTAATTTTTATTTTTTTAATTTTTTTATTATTATTATACTTTAAGTTTTAGGGTACATGTGCACAATGTGCAGGTTTCATATGTATACATGTGCCATGCTGGTGTGCTGCACCCATTAACTCATCATTTAGCATTAGGTATATCTCCTAATGCTATGCCTCCCCACTCCCCCGACCCCACAACAGTCCCCAGAGTGTGATGTTCCCCTTCCTGTGTCCATGTGTTCTCATTGTTCAATTCCCATCTATGAGTGAGAACATGCAGTGTTTGGTTTTTTGTCCTTGCGATAGTTTACTGAGAATGATGATTTCCAATTTCATCCATGTCCCTACAAAGGACATGTACTCATCATTTTTTATGGCTGCATAGTATTCCATGGTGTATATGTGCCACATTTTCTTAATCCAGTCTATCACTCATGGACATTTGGGTTGGTTCCAAGTCTTTGCTATTGTGAATAGTGCCGCAGTAAACATACATGTGCATGTGTCTTTATAGCAGCATGATTTATAGTCCTTTGGGTATATACCCACTAATGGGATGGCTGGGTCAAATGGTATTTCTAGTTCTAGATCCCTGGGGAATCGCCACACTGTCTTCCACAATGGTTGAACTAGTTTACAGTCCCACCAACAGTGTAAAAGTGTTCCTGTTTCTCCACATCCTCTCCAGCACCTGTTGTTTCCTGACTTTTTAATGACTGCCATTCTAACTGGTGTGAGATGGTATCTCATTGTGGTTTTGATTGGCATTTCTCTGATGGCAAGGAATGTGAAGGACCTCTTCAAGGAGAACTACAAACCACTGCTCAATGAAATAAAAGAGGATACAAACAAATGGAAGAACATTCCATGCTCATGGAGAGGAAGAATCAATATCGTGAAAATGGCCATACTGCCCAAGGTAATTTATAGATTCAATGCCATCCCCATCAAGCTACCAATGACTTTCTTCACAGAATTGGAAAAAACTACTTTAAAGTTCATATGGAACCAAAAAAGAGCCCACATCGCCAAGTCAATCCTAAGCCAAAAGAATAAAGCCAGAGGCATCACGCTACCTGACTTCAAACTATACCACAAGGCTACAGTAACCAAAACAGCATGGTACTGGTACCAAAACAGACATATAGATCAATGGAACAGAACGGAGCCCTCAGAAATAATGCCGCATATCTACAACTATCTGATCTTTGACAAACCTGAGAAAAACAAGCAATGGGGAAAGGATTCCTTATTTAATAAATGGTGCTGGGAAAACTGGCTAGCCATATGTAGAAAGCTGAAACTGGATCCCTTCCTTACACCTTATACAAAAATTAATTCAAGATGGATTAAAGACTTAAACGTTTGACCTAAAACCATAAAAACCCTAGAAGAAAACCTAGGCCTTACCATTCAGGACATAGGCATGGGCAAGGACTTCGTGTCTAAAACACCAAAAGCAATGGCAACAAAAGCCAAAATTGACAAATGGGATCTAATTAAAGAGCTTCTGCACAGCAAAAGAAACTGCCATCAGAGTGAACAGGCAACCTACAAAATGGGAGAAAATTTTCACAACCTACTCATCTGACAAAGGGCTAATATCCAGAATCTACAGTGAACTCAAACAAATTTACAAGAAAAAAACAAATAACCCCAACAAAAAGTGGACGAAGGACATGAACAGACACTTCTCAAAAGAAGACGTTTATGCAGCCAAAAGACACATGAAAAAATGTTTTTTGTTTTAAGGGTGATGTTTATATATTCAGATAGTGCACTCAGTCCCTGAGATAGTTGTTCATGACTCTGCACTGTGGGCGTCGAGGACATTAGCACATTTTCCCCTTCAACATTGCTTGTTCTGTCAATGCAGTTAACAGAAGGACTAAGACAGAAAGAGAGGTGGGAATTATGATCAGAGAACAGAACGTTAGCCCTGACAGTGGCAACATCTGTAACAATGAGGTGGAGAAGGAAGAAGGTGGGAGCTAGTCCAAACATGCTAGTTTTGTCACCCTTATTTCCTTGAGGACTTATGAGGCATTACTCCCCTGACTTCTAGCGTGGAATGTTTCTCTGGAGAAGTCTGAGGCCAGTCTGATTTAGCTCACACTATGTTTTTTATCTGGATATCCAAAGATCTCTTTGAAGTTTAGTAGTTAACTGGAGATACAGGTAGATACATTGACATTGATGTGTGTGTGTGTGTGTATATATATATGTATATGTATATATATATATAGAGAGAGAGAGAGATCAGCGTTGAGGTTTGTTTGGAGGAGAGTGGAAAATGGCACAAATCCAACTTTATAACATTTATTTCTTTATTAAACAAAAAAGATACAAAGCAAATATGCCGAATATTAACATGAGTTGAATATAGTTGGTGAATACAAGGGAATCTGCAATGTTATTCTCAGTGATCCAGGGTGTGTCGGATATATTTCACTTTTTTGTTTTAAAAAAATACCTTGTAACGGTAAATCAGGGAATGTTTGCGTGCTTCAGTGACTCAAAGTATATTTCACTGAAAATCACGTTTTTGCCTGACTGATCACAACATGCGTCCATGCTTTCCTTATATGTTGACAAGCACTCGTGTAATTTCTAAATGTTCTCTGGTGTCATTTCCTAAGTTTTAGGTAAAAGTATTACAAAATATGTTTGTAGTTCTAAGGTCCTATGGTTGGAGATTATAAAATTCTAAATGTAGAATCTGTAGAGTAGAAGTTAGTGGTAATTGCTCCCTCTGGAGGCTAAAACTAAATGGGATGTTTGACTACAGTCTCTTAAGTGATTTATATTCGCTGATTTGGGACTATTTTGAACATATCTTGGTCTAATCATTACAGAAGAGAATTTGAGTTTAAAATAGCATGATAATTGGAAGAGTTGCGTATTGAAGACTTTTCCTTTCTTTTCTGTTTATCGTGTTCGTTCTTTATCTTGTTCTTTATCTCAACAGGACTCTCATAAATACAAGTCATAATGAAAGAAATTACCACCATTTTCTTATTTTCATTCATTTTTAGTTTTCAGTACTGAAAGATTTTTAAATTTGTTTTTCCTCTGTGTTCAGGTATATGTCTCGAGTCCACGGTATGCACCCTAAAGAGACCACCCGTCAGCTGAGCTTAGCTGTGAAAGATGGTCTTATTGTCGAAACTCTAACAGTGGGCTGCAAAGGTTCAAAAGCTGGTATTGAACAAGAAGGATATTGGTTGCCAGGAGATGAGATTGTAAGTACATTTTATTTGATAAACATAGAGATGTGAACTTTTAGCTTTTAAACATTATTTAGATACAACCTATAGAAAATCATTTTCAGAAGTTTAATATTTCATTTTAACATTTGTATCAACATTAAGGCTCTACATTGGTAGTATGGATACTTTCCTTACTAATTATTTAGGAGATGACTCACTTTTACAAAGATCCTGCTTCTCTATATATTACCTTGAATCTAAAAAAGAAAGCAAACCAAAGCTCTTTTGATGTACCCACACTTCATGGCATTCCTAAGTGTTTTCGTCAATAAATATTAGCAAAAAATGTTTCCATGCCAGATAATGTTGATGCCATCTAGACAGATAGAAGGGGATGAACCGTCTTCCTAGGGAAACAGCCTCAGTTCAGGTAGGATGGTATCACAGCCCAAAGGCAGGCTTCAGTAGGAATTTTGTGGCAGAGTACAAAGGTTCCAAACGTTAAGTTCTCCTGGCCAGTGCCTACGTTGACTAATGACAATTGCAAGTTTTGTGTACTGGAACAGAAATCAAATAGGAAAGACAGAACATTAATTCTCTTTACGTTTTTACCTAGTTCTCACTTTGACTCCTCTTTTAAATGTTGATATTTTAATCTGCTTCTCTTTCCTTTCATTATGTACCTTTAAACTCAGAGGCACATATCGAAGTACATTTTTTTCTTACGTAAAGATTGATTTCATGTGTAATATTTCTATCTTCCTACCTTATTTTATTTTGCTGTTTCTAATACCTTGATTTAAAATGTGTTAATTTTTACAAGGGAACATCATTTAAGATGATAGGTTTCAAATGTAACAGATGTGGCCAGGTGTGGTGGCTCATGCCTGTAGTCCTAGCACTTTGGAAGGCTAAAGCAGGAGGATCACTTGAGCCCAGGAGTTCAACACTAGCCTGGGCAACATAGCCCCCATCTCTACAAAAAAAAATAAAATACACAACCCCATCTCTACAAAAAAATAAAAAATTAGCTGGGTGTGGTGGCACATGCCTGTAGTACCAGATACCCAGGAGGCTGAGGTAGGAGGATCACTTGAGCCCAGGAGTTTAGGGCTGCAATGAGCTATGGTCATGCCGCTGCTGTACTGTAGCCTGGGCGACAGAGCAAGACCCTGTCTCCTAAAAAGAAAAAAAAAAATCTATCTATAGATATCTTTTTCTTAAAAAGAAAAAAAAAATCTATCTATAGATATAGATAGACATATCCCTTTCAAAAATCTATCTCTTTCTATAGATTGAGTTTGTGAAAGGGATAGATTTAGTAATTGCATACTTTGAGAGTGTTTTATCATAAATTCTCTAAAATCTAAAATTATAAAAATGACATAGAATCTTATAATTGGTTCTTTGTGGAAAAATTTTCCAAAAAGTTTGAGTTTATTTTCTTTTCTGGCTCTACAGCAGATGAGCCAGCAAACATACTAACCTGTGAAGCCTGAGAGCAGTAAACTAACTAGCAAGTGCCTGTGGGGAGGTGGTTTATAGCAACAGCTGTGATAAGGTATAAACTTAGAAAAGCTGTTCACTTCTTTAACTTTGTTTTTGTCAATTTAATCTGCACCTTCAAAGCTTCAGGAAAGAACATTCACATTTTCCAGCAACAGAAAACATGGAAGAAAAAATCTTTACTTTCACTGGTGTAATTTCATTTGTGCACTGGAAGTATTCTTGAAAAGTTAAGTGGAAATCTTTATATAAGAAGAATTTTTCTATTGAGTTGCCTTACAGAAAAGTAAAGCTTTGCTGCCAGTGAAGAAACTTAGGGTGCCAAGACATAATAAAAGTAATGTCAAGTGGTATCAGTCTATTGCCTCAGGTATTTAAAGGAGGGCCATTAATTGTTGATACCTTATTATATACTCAGAATAATCCAGATAATGTAAAATTTCTAATCTTAAAACACTTAGGAATTTATAGATAGTATAGAAGACTATAGTGATAATATCCAAGATTTGTATAGTAATTAACTAACAGTAAGTGCAACTTAATCTATAGGATTTTGGTTTGTGGATCATGTGTACATTTTTTCATAAAAGCGATTTTATTTCTCTTTACTGTTTAGATTGGTACTTTCCTATATGCTTTCTTCCTCCTCAAGTTGAAGTTTTTTTGTTTAGTTTAATTCAATAAGTCGTTAATGAGCACATTATATTTTTACCACTATATTAGGTCCTATGTTCTAATTTTTATTTTTATATGTTGTTCTTGCATATATTTATAGAATCATCCTTTTTTCTTCTGTCTAGATGAAATATTATATGTAAACCAAACATATAGTATACAGGTTTAATTCTGATTGGTTCTTTCTTGCAAACATTTTTATTCTAAAATGGCTGTATAATATAAGCACAAGTGAATATATCAAAATTGTGCCTGGTGTATAAAATATGTAAATATTTAAAATTCAGAGGTAATGTAGTTTATTAGAAAGAAGTAAGATCTCGTATGTCACAAATAAACAGGGGTTTCAGATCCAATTCAAGCCTTTATTTAGTTATGCAACCTTGAGGAAATTTCTTAGCCTCTGATCCTCAGCCCTCAGCTGTCGTATGGGCATATTAATATCTATTTCATTTGATTGTTTGAAAGATTAAATGAGATTATCTACATAAAGTGTATAACCAGGTACTCAAAGCAAGTTTTTGACCAATGAATAAATATGCTTACAACAAAAAACGCCTGTATATAATATAGTAAAAGCACATTAGTTTCTTACTAATTATACAAGCAAAAATTCTACTCAGGGTCTTTTTACTTTTCAACCTGTATTCTCAAACACAAGACTTGTAAAGAGGTTTTCCATTAGAACACTGGATCTTTATTTAAAGTGTAACTCTAAAATAATGAGACAAATTATATGTGTATTTTGTTACCTTGGCTGGGGTCCCACCTGGCTACTCAGCGACTGTCCATGTGCCACAATTTTCATGCCCTGATAACACTCTAGGAGGAGGACATATAATTGTTTCCCACTAGGCACAGCACATGCATCTCGTACTGACCAGCTTTGTGTACTTTTTTTAATGTATGGCCAGTGCGTGGAGGTTGTTGCATATGGGGGTGCCAGATGTGAACTGTACAATTTAGGAAGCCCCATCCACATCACAGACATTGTATATTTGCCTATTTATTCAAAAGTCACCAGTGCATTTATTCTAATAAATGAACATACAACAACAAGAGTGTCTTATGGAAGGGCCACCTTTTCTAGTTTGCACATGGTGTTCTGTGGGCTAATGATTGTCCTACATGCCAGCATTTGAGTCTGGGGCCCATGCTTTATAGTTTTACCACCTTATATATAGGATGAATCACTTTGATGTCTCTAAAAACTTGACTTTTTAAACTGAAAGATGTATGTTGTAATTTATCCATCAAGAAAGGAACATGACAAGTAGATGTATATGGCCTTAGGAAGGGAAGGCATAGGATGTTTTTGGTTATCTATTTTTAAACGTTTAAGTCAAAGTTACAAATATTCTTTACTTAGGCAGTTCTGTTATTTTTTAAATGGGTGGTAAAGCTCTTTTTTTTTCCTTCTGTTATCTCTAAAAATTGCTGTAAACTCAGGTGGGGAAAAGGTGTATTTATCTTGATAAGTCCCACAAGTTATATCTCCTGAGATACTTTGTATCAGCAAAGAGTCTGGACTCTTGTCTTCAATTCCACAATTCTGTTGATAAAGAGAAAGTAGACAAAAGTGCAGTTTTCTCTATGCTGCCTATTACTGATGGAATTTAAAAGTCAGAGTTTGTTGGTGTTACATTTTTATTTCACCTCTGCTACTTTTTTTCAATGCTTATTTTTAAAAATTTGAAGCAATTGAGAAATATGCATATATTGAACAAGATTACTTTTATGAAATCTAGCAATCATGTAACAAAAGCCTAACTATATAATATGTCAGGATATAGTTATAAATAATCCAAGTGGAAGCCTATATATTTTAAGGCCAAGATAGTGACCGCATGGTGCTGAGATTCCTTCTTTTGGACTGCAGTTATTTTAGGCATTTTGGGATGCTGATCTCAGCCACCGTTTGCAGCCCTAATGATCACATAAGTGATCATTCATTTGGAGAAACTGTGGTAAAATTAGGTAATAGATAAGCATCTTTGTGGTAATGTTTTAAATATGACCATATGAAATGGTAGAATGAAAAAAGTAATTATTTAAAGTAAGGCCACTCCCAATTTTAAATGGTTTGCTCAAATATTAGTCAAGCAAACAGAAGTATACGTACTGAGGAGCCAGGTGTGATGGCACACACCTGTAGTCACAGCTACTTGGGAGGCTGTGGCAGGAGGATTGCTTGAACCCAGGAGTTTGAGTCTAGCCTGGGCAGCGTAGCAAGACTTGTCTCTTAAGAAAGTAAATGCATAAAAAATTGTGTGTGCCAACTAGTTTCTACACTCTATGGTCATCTCACACTTCCAGATTGGTCTGTCATTACCATTTACTCATAGGGTCCACATAATTCATTTAAAGGTATTTTCATAAGCTTTTAAAATTATATTGGAAAAAGACCGCAAGACCAGGCCACTGAGTGAAATTTTGTGATATCTGGTCATTCAATGTTTTGTTATTTCAAGACTTTTTTCTTTTGATTTTTTAAAAGAAATGCTCTATGTCCTTGTAGGCTCATATGTTGCTTCATCTGCTTGCTCTAGAGCAAGACACATGGATGGCTGCACTAAACCCTTATTTCTTCACAGTATTTCACCACCTTTATTCTTAAAATGTGAGAAGTGTATTTCTTGGACAGAATTTTACCATTTGCTGGGCTAAGTTACATTTGGTATTTAGCAGCTCTCTGTGATAAATATAAGTTAATATCTTACGAGTTATACTCTTAAGCAATAAGATACTCACTAAAGATGAGAAGGTCTTAACAAAGGCTTTAATGTAATACACTAAGGCAGGTCACCTTAAATGATGGATCATTTGCAGATAAAGCATATCAAATAATGTCGTTTGCAATTGAGGCGGTTAGTGTTAATTTGGTGACTTCCAACTTTATTGACAGCCCTTGGCACAAAGCTAGAATATTATTTGACAGATACTTTTGATCTCACATTTAATAATTTAGTCAAGAGTGTTGAGGATGACTTAAAATATTAAAAAGTGATCTTTGCTGTAAAACTACTTCTCCCTTTACTTACCTACCAGGTTTGGTCTCACAGCCTCATTTCCTTGTCATAGTTAATGCCAGGACAAAAATAATATATGAGTTTAAAATATTAAAAAGTGATGTTTGCTGTAAAACTACTTCTCCCTTTACTTACCTACCAGGTTTGGTCTCACAGCCTCATTTCCTTGTCACAGTTAATGCCAGGACAAAAATAATGTATGAGTTTAGGAACCACGTTGATACTTTTGGTTAAAGTCCTTCTACCGGTATGTTTTGCTGCTTGTGACTCAAGAGCAACTGCACGCATGATATTATACTACTTTTAAATAGGCCTAGGGGGCATCTTTGTTTTTTGTTTTTTTTTTTTTTGAGACAGGGTCTCCCTTTGTCACCCAGCCTGGAGTACAGTGGCGCAATCATGGTTCACTACAGCCTTGACCTCCTGGCCTCAAGCAATCCTCCTGCCTCACCCTCCGAAGTAGCTGGGACTACAGGCATGCACTACCACACCCAGCTAATTTTCTCATTTTTTGTAGAGACAGGGTCTTGCTATGTTGCCTAGGATGGTCTTGAACTCCTGGCTTCAAGTGATCCTCCTGCCTCAGTGACCCAAAGTGCTGGAATTGCAGGCATGAGCCACCATGCCTACACCTTTTTAAATGAAAAGGTAGAATTCTGTGTCTTTTGCTTTTTCTCATTTAAGGCTTTTGACACATATTAAAACAGCATAATTAATGAAAATATATATTTTCTGGCTTCTTAAAGAGATTAACCTATTGGGGATAAACAAGCTTAAATCTTAATTTACAGAGGGGCAAGATAGACCCTTCTTTTCTGTCATCATCTGTTCCTCCCACCTCAAAATGCCCAGTCTAAAAAAAGTTTTGGGTTATATTTCTCTTGAAATTTAGCTTAGCTCACATCTTTTAGATAGGAGATAGGAATGGAATTGATGGCTTTATTCTTCAGAACTACCACCGTAGGCAGCCATGGCAAGCAGGGGCGCCCTTGCGTTGTTCTTGAGGAAAATATTAAGTGAGGCTAAATTCAAACTGAGCCTGACTCCCCAACCCCCACAACCCTTTTATATATATATGGCATATTACAGTGAGAATTTCTTTTTAAAGTTTTAGGTCTTTGTCTTTTTCTTGATAAAATTATAGTTATAATAGTTGTCATAAGTTAATCAATCGTATGTTTTAAGTGCCCTTAGTGCAAAATTTGATGCCCCTTGGATACTGTTGATTTATTTAATATGAAATATACCTTTTGTTAATTTTTAATTTTTATGGATAGGTGTATATGTTTATGGGGTGTGAGATACAACTTACTCTATTTACGTTACTTACCGCAGAACCACATATTTCTTCCAAATGTCCATGCCCTATCTTAGTTACAAAAACACAATCATTTGCCAAGTGAATTATCGGTGATTATTAGAAATCATTTATACTGTGGTTCTGTGTGCATTTAAACTATAATATACTTAGAAATTATTCTTGCTTTGGTAAAATACTTTCCTTCTTATTCAAGAGGATTTTTTGGGTCATGCTGTCTTGTTATATACTCTTTTAAGTTTATTATGATTGTGTGTGTATATGTTTGTTTTTTCTTTTTCCTTCTGTCTGAATTCTGTTGCACTGAGCAATGTTGTAATATTTTTATTTTAAATATAAGTAATATTTAAAATTACTGGAAATATGTAACCATCAGATTATTATCTCCTAATGATAAACAGAATTTGTTAATTAAGCTAAACCTAGAATTGTAGACAATTATTTTTACATTGCATCTACATTAAAATGCTATCTCAAACACACATACTTGGTTGTGTAATATTTATCTACTCATTAAGTAGAAAGAGTAAATTAAAAATTGCTTTTGGATTATTGATGAGGGTGGATTATACTTTAGAACACTATTCAAACAGTTCTTCCACATATCTCCCTTTTGACTTGACTGAGCAACTCTCTTTCTGTGCTTCGGTTTGGTCTCTAAGTCAGAGTTAATATTTCTTGCTCTATCTAGCATATAGAAGCATTGTGGGCTGGGTGCAGTAGCTCACACCTGTAATCCTAGCACTTTGGGCAGATTGCCCAAGCTTAGGAGTTTGAGATCGGCCTGGGTAACATGGCGAAATCCCGTCTCTACTAAAAACACAAAAAAATTAGCTGGGTATGGTGGCGCACGCCTGTAATTCCAGCTACTTGGGAAGCTGAGGCGCAAGAATTGCTGGAACCTGGGAGGCGGAGGTTGCAGTGAGCCGAGATTTCGCCGTTGCACTCCAGCCTGGCGAGATTCTGTCTCCAAAAAAAAAAAAAAAAATTGTTGTGAAATACAGATGTGATAATGAATTTTAAAATGCCTAGCAAAGAAATGTGCACACATATATAATTATAAGCATGTTCTATCATTTTGTGACTTGGTCAGTTCCTGTTCTGTGCACTGAGTAGATAATAATAACAACACTTCCTGGGTGCTCACATTGTGCCAGGCACTCCCGTAAGGACTGTCTGCGTATTGACTCATGTGATTCATAGAAAAACCGTGTAGACTGCGTACTATCATTTTGTTCATTATATAGGTAGAAAATGACACATAGAGAAGCTAAGCATTCTGCCTGAGATTATACAGCTGCGAATGCCAGGGCCAGGATTTGAATCAATCGAGCTCCAGAGTCTTAACCAAATGCTATGTGAATGACAGAGACTTAGATCAATAGGCTGCTGCTAGAGGTGGATTTTTCTACTAGATTCTGAGGACAGCCTGTATAAATTTCATGTTATGGTGAGGTATTGAGTTGACCACACTCATATTCATCATTTCCGATTTTTAGAGAATCCAGTGTGAACCAGTTTTAAATTAATAAGACATACATTCATGTCTTACGCAAGTTTATAATGGCACTGAATTTATTTATTAGCAAAATATTTTTCTAATATCATTATAGTTTTCACGGTACATTGGCGGGAGATTTTCTCTATGTCCATTTGTAGCTTTTGTGTTTGTTAGTTGAAACGTTTCCTCTACAACTAGTAATGACTCTTATGTTTGCATGCTTCTGTCTTTTCGTTATTAATTAGCACATTGATAGATTACCAGTTAATATCATCTGTAAAATAGTATAAGTCATATAGGAAATAATAAACAGTTTGGCCCTGTGTGAAATCCCTTTAGCCCTGTGTATTGCCTGACATTTAGCAAAGTTAAGTAGCGAGACCAAGATTATTTTGTTTTTATTTTGAAAGGCCTATAGTATGCAGCCTTTCTCCAGGACAGCAGCCCCAAACAAGGTGAACTAATTTTGCACTATGTTATTTTACTATAATTCTGCTTTATTTTTTGTATTGTAGTTTCTCTTTTACCTTAGGCTAGCTTAGTTAACTCTTGCTAGATTTGTTTGTTAAAACCATACTATCTTTACATGGCTTCTAATTTTGAATTTCATGCTAGTAGGTTTGCTATTTAAAAGCTTTCATGTTTTGAATTGGCATTTCACATACGCTGTTACTCAGGCTATCTCTAGAGTAGCTAATGACATCTGGGGGAACCAGTGAAAATGCAAACTTAGGTTCTTTGACATACATGTTTGAGTGCTAGTCAAAAGCATTATGTAAAGGATCTCTATTTACCAAAAGACAAATTGTAGGCAACCTGTCCTATAATCAACATGCCTGTATGATTCATCCCTCAGGAAAATGTTTCCTGGATTCAGAGTCTAGTAACTTTGAACTTGACTTTTGCATGTTTTGCATATTCTGAACAGCTATTGCCGTGATTAAAACAATCAACAGCACTGCTTCCCCAGCCCATACTTTCTGTCTGAGAATAGAGTTGGTTATATGCCATCATATAAATGTGTCCAGATGTTTCTCTTTTACTTCATTTGAGTTATACTTTCATTTCTGTAATTGGTTATGAAAAACTAGGTCAAGAATTAAACACCCTATCAAAGATCCATTTTTATCTTCATTTAATGGGTGGATGGGGAAAGGGTAGGGATGCAAAGAGGTAAAGGTAATGTGGAGAGGCCAGAGGTATGCACAGGAATTATACTCTTGCTTCCTTTTGTTAATTAACCTAGTAACTACTATAATATTTTGCCCAGCACATGAAGATGAATTAATGTAAAAAATTCAAGTGATGAATGATGGCAATTTCTTTTTAATATTGAGTCAAATATAAGCCACCAGAATCCCTTAAGATGTTTTTAAAACAGCTATGAGTATGAAGAAAATATCCTGAAATATTTTGTCTTAACTTTGGAAAGAGTACTGTTAATTAAAAGTAGAATAAGATATCTTATTTCCACCAAAACCTAATTTGTCAATGATTTTTAATATAATAATTGATAAATTGAAATAGCTAAAATGAAGCTTACATATGAGCCCATCTCAAATGGATACACCAAGGATGACTGTTTTAATACAGCCAAGCGCCACACACATATATTGTTGTCTGTGTGATGCCAGTGTGCCCAACTTTGTGCAGTACATCATTTTGTGCCATGTGCAATCAGGGTTTTATGTAAAAATCAGTATTTTAAGATTCCAGCCCAACTGAAATTACCATACCAAAGGAAGTTTGCAGAGTGTATACATCTGTAGCAAATAACTAAAAATGGTCATTGTCTTTTTATTACTTTGGTCAACACAGACTGCCAATTTCTTAATAAAAAGCAAACCGGAAAGTTTACATTTTTGCAGGATTTACTGCCACACTCTAGCCATGACTCTGGATGTGGTTTGGAAGACATGAATTTTTGAACATTCATGTATCTCTTCTCTTTTGAAGGACTGGGTAGTCCTTCATATCTGGCAGTCAGATATGGTCAAGCAGTAACATGTTTGAACCTAGTTTCCAAAGAAGTTGCTGCTTATGGAGTGAGTGCTACATGAAAGCCCATTTATTGGGGGAGTACTGACATCAGAGAAAACAGTAAAGCTGTTCCACCTTGGAAACCGTATAGATAACAATTTATAGAAATAAAATTGATGGTGGAACCCAAATTTGGAATGTCAGGGTCCCTACTGGAAGTGGCCCTGTTTATACTAACTGTGGACTTTACCCTTGTTCATTTGGTTACTACATCTACAAATAAAGTTGAGAATTAACTCATCACTCTTAGCATAAATATATTTTAAGAAAAGCTAAGAGTAATATTTATAAATAATGAATTCTAAATTAAGAGAACTTCTAACACTTGCTTTGTATACTTAAAGGGTATTAGCTGTATAAAAAAAAGGTGTCAAAAATAAGAACATGTTGAAGAATGCCTGTGTACCTACAGTTGTGTTCTTTTATTTCTAGGAATAGCCCCAGTCAGGAAATAAGGCTACTTCCTTTTTTGTTTTCTGTGGTAATCTCCTTTGGATAATGTGATTAAACCTTTAGTTTCACAGTTTCAATTTATTTTTCCAAATTCAACAGCTCTGAAAATCTGACATCCTATCAGAACATGGACATTCTGATTAATGGTTATTTTCAATAAAACATCCAGTGCCACAGATGAGAAGATAAGAATAGTGAGCATCACCAGTTATTACTATTCTCTCTGTTCCCACAGTGTGTCAAGGACTGTTATATATATATATGTAAAGCAGAACAAAACAAAGGTTTGTTTATTTGAAATGCGAAGCTATAGGTTGGTTTGGGGTTCTCAGTTTACTAAAGAAATTATTCCTTAGATTGTATTTCAAAATGAAAGATAACATTAGAACTGGAGTTGGCTTTGGACATACTTCATTTTGGACTGGTTTTGCTATCACATTATCTTAAGATATTTCTGAATATTACCACTGTTTTAGGAAAGATTTTAAAATTTAAAGCAGCAACTTTCTAGGTATTTTCCCTCTTGTTTTAACACAGTAAATGTCTTTAAATTGTTTATGATGCCTAACTTCTGATGGACATTAGTTTCAATTTTGTTCTTAGTCATTGCAGATATTGACAAAATGTCATACAAAACTATTTTGTACTTTTTTGTAGGACTGGGAAACAGAAAATCATGACTGGTATTGTTTTGAATGCCATTTGCCTGGAGAGGTGTTGATATGTGACCTGTGTTTTCGTGTGTATCATTCCAAGTGTTTGTCTGATGAGTTCAGGCTTAGAGACAGCAGTAGTCCCTGGCAGTGCCCAGTTTGCAGGGTGAGTACCTATGAGCTTTCCTGTGCTGGTTAGAGGGTTGGAATTAATTCATAATAGCTTCAAAAAGATATCCCAGGTGGTCTTGCCAGGTGAACGGATAAAGGACTGGAGGGTGGGGGTTATCTAATGAAATGATGATACTCATAAATGGACATCACAGAACACATACACCGTATTTCAGGGTGTGGATTTTAGAAAGTTTTAATCACGTAAAAATATATCCTCTTCCCTTCCCTTACCTGCCTCTGGCTTATGTGACTAATTTAATGGATGGCCTTTGGACATCAGAAATACGAAACCTACTAACATCTGTTCAATAGCTACTTTGTAATAAACTGTACAATTTATGGTATTCAGGAAACAGTTAGCAAAAGGCACATTGTTGGGGGCATTCTGTATCTATTTCCCATTTTATATCCATGTAATGTTGCCTTTATTTTTGTCATATCATGAGTTTGTTTTTTTTTGCTTATATTTTATTTGGAGGGTGGAGGGATGAGACATTGTGTATAAAGAATTCTAATTATTTTTTTAAAGTAAAATGAAATTGCCCCATAGGTAAAAAAGGTACTTTCCACAATTACTTTTATTCATTGATCCCACTGAGGAATATACATACTGTGATTGTTAGTTGCAGAATGTGGTATGTGTGTGTATACGAGTGATATGTGGTGACTTATTACATATGGCATCGATGGTAATAAGGAATTATTTGATTGCAACCTCTATTATTTTATACTTAACTATTAAAATACTTATTTGGAACCATGCACATTGTTGAGATTACTCGTGATTTCCAGTTTGTTAATATGCTTTATAATAACTTGCGTAATTTAAGTATTTTTTTGCTTTTTCAAAAAACATTTTTTCATAACTTTTTCCCTCTCTGGCATTAGTCGAAAATTTCCTGTTAGCATCATAAGCAAACTACAGTATATGTTCTAGTCTTCTAACTGGCTTTGTATTGCCTAAGTGTACTTAGCCTTGCCATATACGTTATACTTACTCATTAGGCATACAACAGGCAGTTGGGATAGCATTTTAAAAAATGTTTAATGATGACTTGCCACTCAAATGCCTAGGTGCCAAATAAGTCATGTCAGTTCCCTAAGTCTGAGTAAATCAGTATCAGTTTTCAATATGTAGACCTCCTCTTTGAGGTCTACAAGAATGTCTGTAAGAAATTAGTGTAAGTGGTGCTCTAAGTTTCACAATTTGGAGCAAAGGAGCTGTATTAATATTCATATTTTATTCTCTTGTGGATTTCGATTGTACATTTTAAAAGCAAATATACATCTTCCATTTTCTGATAGAAGTTTACCCTAGGGGAAGTAGAAAATTAATGAGATCAAAAAAAAAAAGAGGCAATGTTAGTAGTCACATGGGGATCCTAATATGGATGCAGGAATTAGGAAATACAGCTCTGGGTATGTCTGTGTCTCTACAGCCATTGCTCTTTTGTATTTAATATTTAATTCTTATTTTCATAGTAAATAACTTAAACGAAAATACTGGGACTTCTGAGGACAGGTTAAGCTTCTTTGTAGATATTTTGTATTTCTTATGGTAAGAATGGGAATTGAACAATTATTATACCTTTGAAGAAAATGTTTAATACTTCTTCCGTCAGAATTCACTATCAAGTTGTCTGATTCCATTTTGTGTTTCCTTTACTCTTTTTTTTTTTTTCTGAGACTGAGTCTCTCTCTGTCATCCAGGCTGGAGGGCAGTGGCATGATCTCGGCTCACTGCAACCTCCACTTCCTGGGTTCAAGTGATTCTTCTGCCTCAGCCTCCCGAGTAGCTGGGATTACAGGTGCGTGCCACCACACCTGGCTAATTTTTGTATTTTTAGTAGAGACGGGGTTTTGTCATGTTGGTGTGGCCAGGCTGGTTGGTCTTGAACTCCTGACCTCAAGTGATCTGCCCACCTGGGCCTCCCAAAGTGCTGAGATTACTGTTGTGAGCCATCGTGCCCAGTCTGTGTTTCCTCTACTCTTTACTGAATGGATGAAATTTAAAAAATTTTTACACTGTATTGGCTCACACAGAAACATGATTACCCTATTCTGTTCTGTTCTTCTCTTTTCCTTTCTTTTTGCCTTTGTCAATCTAGACATTTTTATACTGCTATATAATTGTGCTTACTGAAATGATGCTGTCAATAAAAATCTTGAATTTTTCATTCATTTTATGGTATGTGAGCTACTCCCTGCTAAGGCTCAAAAACCCTGTTTTCTAGGGTGAGGATGGAGAGTTTTATCTTGAGCTTTAAATTTTCCAAAGAAATAGTTATTCATTTTAGATCCATTCTATTGTTTTATGGTATTCAAGAAAAAGATAAGTACTAACAATTCTTTTCCTTTGAGAAGGGGTAATAATAATCTTGAAATTGTAACGGAGTTTTTCATATCTTTAAGGTGAAGTTATTGGTTGATTTGTTTTAAATTTTAAATATAGTGTCAAAACTTTGAGTAAAGCCGTTTTTTAGGAGAGTGACCAGATTTAAGTAATCATGGACTAAGAGAACCTAGAGTCTATAGACAGAAACTCAAGAACTGTGGTTCCGAATCAGAATAACTTTCTACTCTGTTTTTTTTTCAATGTTTGGAAAAATATGGATTAATTAGATATGTTGATAAAGAATGATGAAGATAAGGTGCCATAGCCAAATTCCATATGGTAAAAATAATAAATGGAAGCTAACCATTACTACCTAAAACTGACAATGAAAAGAAGCCCTTTTCTAAGAGTTTGCAGTGATTGGAATACTATTCACTCTTACATTCCTTTCTCTCCCTTACAGTGTTGAAAAAGTCACTGAGAACAGGTGTTCTGTCTCCTAGCTGTCACCTGTGTTACCAGATTTAATTCAGCTCAAGCAGCTTTATCTTACGTATCTATTTCTGAAATATTTTAACAGGACAGTAATAGGCATTTTTCTCAAAAATAATTTTGTGACTTTTCATAATAAATCTCTAGAATCTATAACCCTAAGAATAGTTCTTTGGAATGTCTGCCTTTCTAAAAAATAAACTTTTGCTTTATGGACACAGTAGATTATTATTGAAAAGTAGCTTATTAATATCAGATTAGATTTTACTTTGAGAAAGATTTAAATACTGTCCAGTTTCACACTTTTACTGAGATCTCTCTCATTAAATTTTAGAAAAGAGATTTTAAAATTTGCTATAAAAAATTCAAATAATTTAGGATAAGAAAAAATTCCCAGAAACCGTATTCCATAGTAGGTAATATTCTCACAGACTTCTTCCTGTGTTGGTGTGTGTGTCATTTTGTTTGTATCTGTATCCACATGACTTTACATTAATTACTGGATGTGGCTAGTGTGTATGTACTCGACAGTACCCCAGAATGACCTTTTTTTGGCACCTGTTATGATTTGAGAGGGCATGCTGTAACTTATGTGACCAGTTCCTCATGTAGCAGGTGTTCATCATTTCCACTGTTCGGTATGGAAACACCTGTCAAAGGTGACATATGCAAATGCTATCCTGGAAATCATGCCCCATTTCCAACTTCTGAGGAGGAGTCTTCTCATTATTATTTATTTCTGCATGAAACTGAAGTTTATATTTTGTTTTATTTGAATTTTATTTTCCTGAAATAGCCATGAATTTTCCAGGAAAAAAATAAGAAAATCATACTCTTTTGTGAAAATTGCTTTTAAGATTTTAAGATTTTGTTTACAAAAAAGAAATACCTTTAAAACACAATATAGTCCATTGCATTTTTTAAAGATAGAAAATTATATACATTTATGTAATTCTGTCTGAACACCTTTGGTAGGATAAGTTTATTAACATGGGATTTTTAGGTTTAAAGGATAGTGTACACGTTTAAATTTTTGATAAAAATCACTGACTTGTTCTTCAGAGTATTATACCCATGTACATCAACAGCACATGAAACTATTTGTCAATTTTTTGTTGCCTATTTGATAAGATGAATTTTTTGTTGTCGTTGTTTTTTTGTTTTTTATGTGTGTTTTTAGGCAGGATCTTGTTCTGTCACCCAGGTTGGAGTGCAGTGGCACAATCATGGCTCACTGCAGCCTCAACCTCCTGGGCCAGCCTCCTCCTGCCTCAGCTTCTGAGTAGCTAGGACTATACGCACACACCAGTATGTGTGGCTCATTTTTAAATTTTTTTCTGGAGACAGGGTCTCGCTGTATTGCCCTGGCTGATCTTGAATTCCAGAGTTCGAGTGACCCTCCTGCCTTGGCCTCCCAAAGTGCTGGGATTACAGGCATGTGCCACCATACCGGCTGTCTCATTTTATTTTTGCTTCATTTTCATATATATAGTTCCCAAATTACAAAGTCATTTTATACTTTGAAGGCATGGTTAGAGACAGACGTGTGCTTGGACCTGCGTATGTGTGCATGTGCTCCATGCTTGCTGGCTTGCAAGCCTGCTGGTGAAAATCATGATACTGTAATTCATGGGCAAGGCAGTCTGTCATAAGAAGCCCCTGGGCAGCCAGCCTGCTGGGGTGGCACATTGCCTTGTAGAGCAGGGCTGTTCGAGAGCTTCTTTGGTGGTGGAAAGGGTCTCTGTGCTGTGCAGTGTGAGCCACTGACCTTGTGTGTCTGTGGAGCCCTTGAATGTGACTTGTAGACCAAAGAACTGGATTGCAGTTTGCCACATGGGGCTTGTGGCTACCATATTAGATAGTGCAGTTTTAGAACATTCATGTTCTAAATGCCTATACCACTCCAAGAAAGCATCTTTAGGTATAAAATACTGATCTCTTGAGAGTGCCTGGCATTTGTCTCCCCATTACGCCAGAGTTACGACTTGGAGAGTTCTTAAAGAAGCATATAACTACTTGACTCCCCACCCTTCCTCTCCCTAGTATACACAGCAGATTCTATAGCAGACACTGCCCTGCACAGATTAGTGGCTATAATATCTGATAGTGTTGCTTTTGCTCTAATGCCTCATAAAAAGTCTGTCAGCAGAATAGCTTTTTAAAAAACTCTGTAGCAAAACAAAGTGTAGATTTTTTTCCCCAAAATAATTGGCACTTTTTAGGTTAAGAATTTGGAGACATGGTTTGAAAGTAGGCCCCTATTTCCTCCTCTTTAATATGTGCATGTTTCTTACATAAATGAATTTTGATTTCATAACTTAGAGGAGTTGTAGATTCATGTTATTGCCCCTATTTAAATTCAGATAAATGCAGTTTTCATATTTAGACTAAAATTATCATTAGGAAATAGAATTTAGGGCTTTAAATTTTGTATGATGTGCTTTTACAGTAAGTGAGTTACAGAGAAAGTGAGTAAATGGGAAAATTACAGTGAGCTACCCGTTTTCTTTTCCATACTTGGCCCGCTGAAATGGAATACCGCTCCACTGAAATCCCTCCAAAGAGTTTTGTCTTGGATTTTTACAATTGCTTGATAATATTAAAATTTTATATTACTATTCTTTATATCATTAACAAACTTTGGTGTACATCCCACTTTGAAATAAAAGGATCAAATTAAGTCACAAAAGACAAAGTAAATAAGTCAAGGTAATACAGAGGTGACATATTATTCCAGTATGTCTTTAAAAACTGGAAAAGACTCGTCCCCTACAAATGTTTCAGGTGGCATTTTTCTCTGTTTAAGGATCACAAGTTTTAAATTTTATGTTAATGTACAAATTGTAGGGTGAATCAAAATCAGCCCACTTAACAAGATGTAGAAACACAAGAAAATGCAGATGAGGAAATAAAGAAGAATCTATGTGGAAGAATTTTATTACTAATTTCAAAATACTTTGGTTCTACATCTAATCCAAAAAGCTCTCCCGAATTTGCAGCACTTGATTCTCTGACTCATGTTCTTAAGCAAGAGAGCTGTTTGGTGGTTCTTCCACGTTAGTAGGAACTATTCCTAAAATTTATTTGCTCCTGCCCTTCTTAAAATACTCAGAATGATACATGTTTTGCAGGAAAGTTAAGACTTTAAAAATGGACTCAGGAGTCTATAGAAAGCATTTAAAAGTAAATTTTAACTTGGAATGTTAAGCCTCATGTACTTTTTAAAAACTCACCATTGGGAGTCCACCTGGAGCTTTATCAATTGGGTACAGACTGGCATGTCAGTGTTGACTTAGGTCTGGGTAGGTTATGTTTGAGCCATTTGTACTGTAACTTTTTGTTGTTGAGATAGTTAAAGAAAAAAAAATCATGATGAAGTCTCTCTGTTGAAATTAGAGAAATTTGTTTCTGGATACAGTTTTCATGCTTTTGGGTATGTAGGCAGTACAGTCTTTTTAAATTCCAACAGTAAAGAGAATGCCCATATAATGTTTAGAATGAAAAATGGGATCAAATGCTGAATGAAAATACTTTGAACATAAATTCCTTATGTATCTATGAAGCTATAACTGCTCTTGCTTTCTGATCAGGCATATTTTAGTGTGGGAAATTTATTAATATTTTCACCCCAAATGTAAGTACTTTTACACTTTCAAGATACATATTAACAAATCTAGAATGGAGATTTGATTTTTAAATAAGTAGAGATTGAAGCCATTATTTTCTTAAATAGTAGACATAGTATTGAAAACAACTAATGAACATTAATCAAATATTTTTACAATTTTTAAGACAACTTATAATTTTATACTAACAAAAGGAGAAAGTTAATTTTAGAAAGATTGTGTCTGAGCCACGCACTTTTATAAGGTAAATTTGCAGTTCACCACAAGCTTAATCAGAGGAAAAAATAATGGGAACACTGATAAAGCCAGAGGATTTTAAAAATTGGATCTACAATATAAAACTATAAAATCCTATGTATTGTTATCTAGGCCCAAAGAAGAAGAAAAAAAGCTCATATAATTTACTGTATTACCTTCCTGTGGTGAATTTAACAGTGGTTATGATCAGAAAGGATATGACTGTGAAATGTTTTGTATGTTGGTGTATTTGGCCTTTGTGATCTATGTTTTGGTGGTTTGTTTAGAATCTTATTCGAAGTTTATCTTTTATTTTCACTCTAAGGGATTGAGAAGGTGATAGTTGGGGTGTTTCCTATATCAGGATGCTTACAACTTAATGTAGATTAAATGGAAAGCTCACTCAGTGTTTCCAAAGTTCATGAACAGAAAATACTTACAAAGTACATGCAGTTTCCTTGTGCTACCTCTGCAGTGCAGAAGCGATGAGAGGGAGTGGGAAGGTAGGTAGTACTTACATTGGCTGGATGTCAGCCCCGTTAATCAAAGAACAAGTCATATTCATGCCTCGACCTGAAGACAGACACATTTAAGTTATTTTCTGAAAAGAATGGAAAGATTTATTCCGCTGAAGAACGCATTCTGCCTCTGCCGTTCAGTCTTGTTCTTCCTTTAGAGACTAGTGTTATGTAGAAGGGGAAAGGAACAAGTAGATACCAAACCTGTGTTCCATAAAATTTTTCTCACTTCCCTTTCCTATTCCTAAGTCATATAGCAAGCCACCGAGGGGCTTAAAGTTACCAGAAAAAGTGCATTAATATTGAAGGATAAAATTTCTGACATGCATAGCACCCTTCTCTCTGTAGATAAATACTATTTTAGCAGGTGTGTGTGTGTATGTGTGTACCTGTGGGCATAGTGGATTTAGAAATACTACATGTTTTTTTCTATCACGGTTTGTTTTGTAGACTATATTTGAGAGATGCTTTCATAGTTACTAAGTCAGCCCAGTAGTAGACTGGCTGCTACAAAGCTGCTCATATCATGTGAACTCTTGATCTTAGTCAAAATTTGTTATCTTCCTTTAGAGAAGAAAGAGTTGGCCTTGTAAAAATTAATAAATGTAGATACAGCCACAGTGGCATTCAGTGGCATTTTGTAAATGTGGATGAACAATTCTTGTGCGTTAGTAATTCTGCAGGACTAACTTACTGACTAAGGAGTGGCCTGTGACTGGAGTCTCATTTGCCAGGATGTTCTAAGAATCCACCTTGAGACGTTCTTAGTAGTTTGCATTATCTTGAGTTCCTACTTTTACCTGTAATAAGGCATATTTGTGATAGCTTACAGGAGGTTTTTAAACTTGAATTCTTATAAGTTAAAAAAACTACTCTCAGTTTTTTTACCTGAGAGTATCTTATCTACCAGTTGGCAGATAATCTGTGGGAGTTAGGATGTGGCTCTGTGGAATCCTGTGTAGTTTAATGTGATTCGTTCCATAGGCAGAAGTGGGTAGGTCGAGTTTTCTACCATTAATACTAGCAATTAGTGTGATGTACTGTTCTTCAGGTCTAATAGGTAGGCCATTTCAGTGTGTCAGTACTGGGAGTGAAAAAACCGAACAGGAGTGTATTTTTAGAAAATAGTTTTAGAAAATGATTTTCACTGATGGGCTACTTGAGTCTTAGTGGTTTGAAGGGAGAAGTGGCAGGACAGGGTAACTCATCACCACTTCCGCTGGACCAGCTTCACTTTTAACTTCTCAATTATTGGGACTTCATATAAATTATGTGTAATTCCTTTATATTCCATTGTTGCAAGTGGGCCTAGACGATATTACAGAGTGTTTTGATTTCTGTAACAACATAGAATCAAAATAAATTTTTAAAAAGCTCCTAGATCTCCTCTATAATCTCAGAACACAAAAGAATCAAAATAAATTTTAAGAGAATTTTATCTAAGAGAATTTATTTTGATTATTTTGTTTTCTGCTATTACAATTATAGAGGAGATTTAGGAGCTGTTTAATCCCTAAAACGATATAAGTAATTTATGTGTAGATTAGTATTTCTCCAAATAAGATCTAGAGGCCACCTGTACAGGAATCACCTGGTGAGCTTATTTAAAACACAGTCTCCTACCGAGCGCGGTAGCTCACGCCTGTAATCCCAGCACTGTGGGAGGCCGAGGCGGGCGGATCATGAGGTCAGGAGTTCAAGACAATCCTGGCCAATATGGTGAAACTCTGTCTCTACTAAAAATACAAAAATTAGCCCAGCATGCTGGTGCGTGCCTGTAGTCCCAGCTACTCAGGAGGCTGAGGCAGAAAGATTGCTTGAACCCTGGATGCGGAGGTTGTAGTGAGTTGAGATCGCACCACTGCACTCCAGCCTGGGCGACAGAGTGAGACTCAGTCTCAAAAAAAAAAAAAAAAAAAAAAAAAAAAACTACAGCCTCCAGGGTTCTACCCCAGACAGGCTCTGGGGGGTAAGGCTCAGGAATCTACATTTCCAGTAAGTGCTGTAGGTGGCTATGCTCACTAATATTTCAGTGAGCTATTGGTGACATTATTCTTGATTGTTAGAAGTCAGCAATTGATATTTCAGTGTCATCTGGCAATAAAATGGTTCACACATCAGAAATAAAATTATTTATGTTGGTCAGAATATGCTGACACACAGACTTGGGTATAACTGCTTCACATTTTAGATGGGTCCTCATATTCTTGAGTTTAGCTGCATGGAATAGTTTCTCTAGTAGGCAATGAAGCCAGTAATGAGTGGCACCAGTTCAATTCAACTGATACGTATCGAACGTTTACTGTGTGCCAGATGCTATGCACCGCTGAAATTGACATTATGGACCCTGCTTTCACAAAACTTACTCCCTCTAGGGGTCAACCTGTGTATGTGTACTGCCCGTGAGCTAAGAATGACTTTTACGTTTTCAGATTGTTGAAGAAAAATGACAAATAATACTTTGTGACATGAAAATTATAAAAAATTCAAATTTTAGTATCCAAAAGTTTTATCGGAACACAGCCACACTCGTGATGTATGCATTATTCACGATTGCTTTGTCATTACAACAGCAGAATTAAGTAGTCGAGACAGAGACCAACCACATGGTCGCAAAGCCTAAAATATTTGCTCTCTGGCCCTTTACACAAAATGCTTCTTGACTTTTGGTCTAGTTTGTTGTGTAAAGAATATACTGAGTATTGGGAACGCCCAAGAAAGTTTGAAGCCCTTGTCTCATTTAATCACAGACATGGGGACTTGGCTGAGGTGAACTCTAGCTGCATAGATAAATATGTCTGAAAAAAGAAGTCTAGATTTCCAATTTTGCACTTCATTCCTGCTTTTGGATAGTCAGTGAACCAAAATGACCAAGATCTCCACAAGTTCATTTTCTGCCAAAATAGGTTTCTATGACTGAAAAACTATATCGCTATAAAGAACTGAAAATTCTGTACTAATAAAGGTATTCAGTCCTGAATGCCCCTTTAAGTAATGATCCTTGGGCATCATTATCAATAATCAGCTATGGATAAACTTGGACAAGATCAGGAGTGGCCAATAGTGTCTTCCAGGCAGAAACACCGAAGGGCACCATGCTTTGTCTGTTGTTTCTACCTAGAGTCATCCGATTCAGTGTAGCCTGGCAGTTACTTACAACTGGCTTAAGAATCCCTTGTTCAAGATGTTCAAATTTTCTGTTATTTTTTTCTTAAAGGAGGCAGCCCCAACATCTGCTTTAGTTCTTACGCAAACGTCTACAACCCTGCTTCAGACATGCGATTACCGTCACTTTTAAATACAACAACTTTGCCATCTCATAGAATGTTTCTTTCTTGATGATTTGTAAAAGTTGACCACAATCACTCCCGTATGCCACCAGGTGATACGAACTCTGGATTCTGACCTGAACCCTGTTACAGGGAGGCCTTGGTTGAAGAATCCTCAGGCCTGCAAATAGAGAATAGGAATAATTCTTCAAAGCCTGAGAAAGAATTGGATCAGAAATAATCTGTACATATTATAAAGCATTGTTTTTATGTTTTTCTGACCTTGTTGTCAAGAGCTATCTGCTTAGTTTACTTCAGAAGCTACCTCTTTCTTAGTTGTAGCTTTTTCTCAAGTCATTGAAAATGTTTTGGTCTGGCTGACAGGTACCAGCTGAAGCACTTCAGCGTGAACGCCACAGAAAGTGGCTCCACGGCTTGTTACCTTAGAAATCCCCAGAAATCTCCTTGAACAGACCTGGGACAGAATGTGCAATGTCCTGTTGATTTCTTTTGTGAAATACCAAGTCTCTAAATTATAACTGGAAAGTCTTGGAAAGAAAACCCTCAAGTTTTTCAAATGTGAAAGCATCTTACAGCAAATGTTTTGTTCCTACAAATCATTGGGAGGGATTTTGGTTCTGTCGAGAGTCCTCTTTTTTGTTTGTGTCAGTTCAGCGAGAAAGCTCCTCAGCCTGTGAATCTGGGAGCAGCTTCTGTCGGCCTCTGTGGCCTTCCCTTGGGTAGTGTGAGGCCCATCACAGAGCAGTGCTTGAGAAGGGCTTCATGGTGTCCGGAATAGATCCCTCATTTATCACCAAAAAGGTGGGTGGGGCAACAAGTAGATAAAAGGAACATGGAAGCTTTCAACAAAATAATCTCCTTTGACTGTGAAATTCCGTTTGGTCAGTCCTTCTATACAGCCCAAATCATTGACGTTTCTAACTGTAATAACTGAAGAAAAAACCAACCCAAATACTTAAAACATAACTCCCATAGCACTGTTAGCATATAAATGAGAGAAGTATTCCTCTTTGTGCAGTAAAGTCGATTGAGAGCATCCTAGAGCTGGTACGTTAGGGTTCAAAATAAAAACTCAGGTTAACCTCAAGATCCCTTTAAAAGAGCATTTGAAGATACACCACTTTACATCTTGTCAGAACACCAGCAAAGGTTAGAATCAGGGCTGCTGCACCAGCGTGCGCTTGTCCGTGTTTACATGACGAGGTCTCTTAGGAAGTTGGTGCAGTGCTCTTAACCACACCTATCAGAAACCCCTGGGGGCTTTTAGGACTATGAATGCCTAGACCCCATCCCGCAGCCGATTGTATCAGAATTTCTGGGGGCGGCACCTGAGACATCGGTGGGCTTTTTCCTTTGAGGTAAAATTCACACATACACTGACATGCACAAGTCTTAGCTGTGCCGTTTGAAGAACAGACAAGGGCGTGCACTGGTGCAGCCAAGTCCCATCAAGCTACGGGGAAGCTCGCTCTTGTCCCTGGGCCAGTAGATCCCCACTCCCACGCCCTCTCCCCAGACAGCCATTCCTCTGATTATTTTCCGTGAGGGATAAGTTTGGCCTGTTCTAGAACTTTTTAGAAGTAGATGTTGATGTTTCTTAAAGGGTTCCCAGGTGGTCCTAACGTAATAAACACTTAAGTAGGATATCTGAATCTGAATGGTGCTCTGTTAAAATGAGGTAGAAGACATTCCTGGGGTAGTTATGAAGGTAATATCTTCAAAGAATTCTGGAAGTTTCATCAGAGTTGAGAAGATGGGGTGGGCCCTACCCAGATGACCTTGTTTCCTTTCATGCTTTACTCACTCATTTTTCCAGGCCCAGATGACCACTTTTGACTGCACTCAGAAGGAGACAGATGCTCTAGCAAACTAGTTCTCAGCAAATTTAAACAGACAAAATCAGACTTTCATCCTCTATTATACCATTTAGTTTTGTGAAATTAATTAAGGCACTCAGCATGAACTATATGCATTCTGACTTCCCCAAAATAGGGAAATGTTGCTTGCACATGGTGACACCAAATTAGCAGTTCATTTGAAAATATTTAAACACATAGAACCAAGTTTATGAGAGCGTGTAGTATCTACAATTTATGTGAATTCTCTATTTAAAAAGATAGAACCTGAATATAGACCTTTATTTAAACTGGGTAATTACATGAACAAGTGTTACCTAAACTTCCGTAGTACCGTTTCAAACTAAGAACAATCTAGTTAAGATGTTTTAGCAATAGTGATATTAATTCTGATATAAAATTCTGATTCTAGCAGTGCATAATCTTTGCCCATATAGAAACAGTGGATGGCTTTATTTTCTAAAGAGTTAGAAACAAGAGACGTGAAAGCGCAGAAAGGAAACAACAACAACAGCAACTCCTGCACATAATGCAGCGCACGGCGCCTTGAGACAGAAGCAAGAGGCCTTGTGCTGGATGCAGCCAGGCTGGTCAGCAGGGCTCAGGCCTCCTCTCCCACTGTCACTACTCAAGGGACCACAGAGCCTAGAGCTAACATCCAGAGGGGAAGGGATTCCTGCCTTGTTGAAATGATGGAAGGCTGTGCATGATATTTAGTGAATATTAAAATTATATTTCAGCGCTACATAACAGTGTTGGTTGTATCTTTCCTTTGAATAATATGTTTCCTATTAAAGGAACTATAACCCCACTGATAGTATTACAAGACTTCTAACCTGGTGTAGATTGCTATTATGTCTGAGTTTAGATAAATTCATATTTTAATGACATTGATATTTGAAATCAGTTTTAATAGTGCACCCAGAGTTTGAGTTGGCATGAGAGAAGGCCATGTAGCTAGAAGCATGTGTTTTTATTCTCCTTTTAAGAAGAATGTACATTTTATAAGCGCCAAGAACAACGTAGCAATCTCCAGCCTTCTTACGTTTTCTCTTCCCTGTATCTGACAGTTCATCAAACTGCTTACTTAGTACAGAAAGCAGTGCACCGAAGCATGTCCATACTAGTAAGTAGCTGATTGATTGTGCTTCAGATCCAGGGAGAGCGCCTTCTGCAGTCCTGTGAGACATGCAGAATGCAAAAATGGAGGATCATTTTTTACTGTGGTCTAGTGTACAAGAGGTGCCCGCTAGTATTTCGCAAATGTGTGTGTGTGTGTGTGTGTGTGTGTGAAAAGCACTGGGGATCTTGTTAAAAAGGAGAGTGGTTTTAAGTGTTCTCACTACAAAAACCAGTTAGCTCTATTTCGCCATTGCACGTATTTCAAAACATCACATTGTACACCATTAAGTATATATAATTTCATTTTGTCAATTAAAATTTTTACAAAGTTTTTTAAAGAGTGGCTAACCAATGCTGCTGACTAAACAAATTTAATAACTAGAGTTCAATGTTTGTTTAAAGTTTTATCTCTCAACAGTGCCTGTGGCCAAATACTGTGCTAATAAATTGCTTGAGTGAGTTCTTCATATCCTCCTTCATGTGGCTGTGTCACTCATTTTAAATTCAGTTAAGTTCTTCTGTTAGTTTTCAAACAGAGAATTCTCAAGTTATATCAATTTGTCTCCCCCCGCCCCCACCAGAAAAAAAGATTATAAACCCAGGGCTCAGGAAATTTCATTGCACTTTATATTCCATATCTATGCCATGGACACTCTGTCTTGGCCATGCGTCAGTCACCTGAGGAATAAACAAATGAACAAGCAAATACGAATCACAGGCCCTGCCACCAGAAGTCACAACCCAGATGCTCAGCGAGTGAAGCCCAGCCACGTTGTATAAAAGTTTAGTCCATATCTCTGATGCGAGGCCAGGGTTGAGAAGAACTGCTCTGTAATTGGCGTAAACGGAGCAGCTGTGGGCACAGGCCACAAAGCGGCATAAGGAGAGGGCACTGACTGCGTTGCCAGAGAACCTAGGTGAGAAGTGGGGTCAGGAAGGTGCAGTGCAGACATGAGGTAAATGAAATTCAGTTTAGTTTCTCACTAATAAAATGTGTTTCCACTTGTTATTTAGATATTTTATGTGTTTATAAACAGTGTACGTACGTATAATCAATTCACTTAAGCCCTAGCTAAAAGTTCTCAGTTATGTGAGAAATATTTGTCCTTTCCTCTACTGTATTTAGTGTACTGAAGTGACTTCCTATGCTTACAGTTCTTTCAGGAAGAATTATACCATTGGGCAGAGAATCATTATCTAGTGACCTGAAAAAGTTAAAGCATCTATTAAAATAGTGGCCACACCCACTCATTTCCTCTGCAGTATGAACTGATGATGTTCGCGTGCCTGGAGTTTTGCCTTTGCTTCCTTTAGGCTGTTGTAATATCAGGGACTTTGACTAAGGAAATAGGCACACTTGTCCTTGTTTCCTAGCTGTTTAGAAATAACATGCGTAGAATCCTATTTTTTCTTCATGTGAAGTTAGACTTTTTTGGTGCAATAAATTGAGGAACCTAATTAGCTTGCAGGCTAGACTAAGAGTTGGAGTTATTACTGAGTAGATCCATGGTGCTCAGAAATGGAGATGTTAGTATGCAGCTGCGCTGTGCAAAGTGAGTGACACAGATTTTTAAAATTACCTTTTAAACGAAGAATAATGTTGTATTGAAATTCACCATTCATTATTGCTAATTTAAGATGTTCCCTCAAAGGACTTAGGCCATTGATATTGTTTGTAAAATAAGCGATTATCCCTTATGTCTATTATTTGTTTATCTAAAAATTAAGTTTTAAAATACCAAGAAAAGAAAAAATATATAATCCTGTAAGGATATTATATCAGGTACAACATAATATTTTAAAGTTCTCACCTTGTTACATTAGATGCTGTTTTTTTTATGCAAATGTCAAAGATTTCTGTCAGATATGTTGGAAAAAGAGCACTTTTAGTAAACTCTTTGCATACTATCTAAGTGTTTCATATATGTCTTTTACATGAATATAGACATAAGAATGATCAGATTTTGTACCTTTTTTTATTCTTTTTTTTTCAATAGAGCATTAAGAAGAAGAATACAAACAAACAGGAGATGGGCACATACCTCAGATTCATTGTCTCCCGCATGAAGGAGAGGGTGAGTCCTGCTCAGGGAATCTTTCAAAATATCCCAAAACACATTTTACTATGGTTCATTCTTTCAAAGTTGAATGATCGAGAAGTAACAAATATGTACATAGCAATATGAAGTGTGGAGAGCACCCCGTCATGTCATATTTCTTTTTTGCAGTAAACAGTTCTATAACAGGCAGTTAGATTTTCTTGTTTTGTCTGTTTTGGACATAGACATTTTGACATAAGCTACATGAGATTAGAAACATTTACATTTTTGAATTTCATTCATCAGAATGAACATTTTCATTGATGATGACTCTTTAAAATGAAAGGCAATTTTTCAAAATAACTATTCTATCACAACTTTAAGGAATGTCATATTAAACTATATAGTAGTATATGTACATTTTTTCTGTTAAGTTTTAAAGTACTTCCTCTGAGATTTTGCTTTAAAGGTAGAAAATATTGGCCGGGCGCCGTGGCTCCCGCCTGTAATCCCAGCACTTTGGGAGGCCAAGGCAGGAGGATTGCTTGAGCCCAGGAGTTCAAGACCAGCCTGGGCAAGATGGCAAGACCCTGTCTCTACAAAAATAAAAAATAAAAAGGTAGAAAATATTTTGAGCTTTAGGAATTGATGTCTTACCTGCCTTCCTTTAACCACATTTAAATTGATGTACTAACACCCTCTTAGGCTATAGATCTTAATAAAAAGGGGAAGGACAATAAACACCCGATGTACAGGAGGCTGGTGCACTCAGCTGTGGACGTTCCCACCATTCAAGAGGTAAAGTCGGTTTCTTTTATTTCCACTTCAAGTACATTTTCTTAACTAACAAGTTAAAGAATAATGTAGCAGTTAAGCAGATTTTGGTTGCTCTTCTTTCCTTGAAAGTGTACTTTTTTCCACTTCCTAAAACAAAAGACAGGCATAACTACCAAATGAAGCATTATTAATTTGTAAATTTCATGTGCTTACTCTAATGCAAATTAGGTGTCATCTTTAAAAGGCCTGGTTTTAAAGATGAGCAGCTTGTAGCTTCTTGATCCTTGTTGATTTAAGAAAATGCCTTACAGCCTGGGCAATTTAGCATTTCAGATGTAAAGAATGTTTTCCAGGTTTAGCAGTGGTACCTGAGAGTTCCTCTCAGAAAAAAAAGTAAAGCATAGAACTGATCTGCCGTCTTGGGAAACAATAAAATGAACAAAAAAAATTATGATTAGAAAAGTTAATTATTCTTAAAGGTCTTAATTTTACCAACTATAGCTGAGGATTGTTAGTTTGTTCACGTCCAGTAACAAATTGCAACAACATCCAGTAGAACACGTAGACATATTTGCAGTCAGGGTTACTGAATTACTGATTTTGCACCTCATGTGTCATGTTGGAAATTTAAAATCTTAACGCTTGGTCATTATAGCCTATAGGGAGACCACAGGAATAATTTTAAATCATCTTACAAGTTTCTTTTCTTTTTTTTTTTGAGACGGAGTCTCACTCTGTCGCCCAGGCTGGAGTGCAGTGGTGTGATCTTGGCTCACTGCAAGCTCTGCCTCCCGGGTTCACGCCATTCTCCTGCCTCAGCCTCCCGAGTAGCTGGGACTACAGGCGCCCGACACCACGCCCACCTAATTTTTTGTATTTTTAGTAGAGACGGGGTTTCACCGTTTTAGCCAGGATGGTCTCGATCTCCTGACCTCGTGATCTGCCCGCCTCGGCCTCCCAAAGTGCTGGGATTACAGGCGTGAGCCACCGCGCCCGGCCACAAGTTTCTTTAGTACCCAAGAAAGACTGTGGCTGTATTATTTCAATATAAGATAAGGGTAAATGAAGGTTTTTCCCTTAAAGTAACTGGTAAATCCTGGAACAAAACCAAGTAGTTTTAATTTTACCTCCTACCCCCAGCCATAGCCCCTTCTAAACTGTAAGACCTCTACAGAATATGTAAGAACCCAGACGCCCCTTCTTCCCCACTGCCTTTACTCATGCAGGTTCCTTCCTGTTGAAATCCTCTAAGATTTGTCACAGACAGGGACACCTGAGATGTTATTTTAAAATTATTTATAAACCAATTCCTAGCCCCAATTCAGAACTATAAATATATCTTAGTAGTTATGGTAAACTGTCACAGAGGCTAACAGTTCTGTTTTCAATCTCGATCCTCCTGTGTTGTAAAGAATGACAGGTGTGTGCTTAGGGTCTCACCGCCCACACTGGCCCAAGCATTCGTGCACTACCAAGCTTAGCAGCAGCTTTCTACATTATTGTCAAATGAGATGTTCAAGCCATTAAAGTTCACTCTGATAAATTAATGTAGTGTCTTTGTGGCTGCGGGATATCTGACCTGCCATGCTTCATTATACTATATTATTAAAACCGCAGGTGGCGTTGTTGGCTTCTTTTACACACATTCTCTGTCAATACTGTGGGATGGCAGTAGTCATCCTGATGTCATCCTAGAAAAGACTGCTTGTCCTGTGAACTTAGTCCAGACAAGTATTTTTACTGGTAACTCTTTTCGTCATTCTGTTTTTTGCCCTCTGCAGAAAGTGAATGAAGGGAAATACCGAAGTTATGAAGAGTTCAAAGCTGATGCCCAATTGCTTCTCCACAATACCGTGATTTTCTATGGAGGTTGAATATTTTTGTTTTTTTTGTATGCATTTTTAAACACACCATTTACATTCCATGTTGAACACTATCTTTTATAAAACATTACTTTCAAAGAATTAATACCTTAATGATCTACAAGTTTAGAGTATAAGGTTAGGAATATCTGGTGATATAGATTATAGAATGGACTGGCCAAAAACAAAATCATAGTATACTAAATGATGAAAACACAATTACTCTTTACAGTTTTATATGTATTTGTTTTAGCTGAGAGGTTTTTAATAAGCACTATGATTAATTCTGATCATTTCCCCACTAGTACCACATCATCCAAAGGTAAGGTCATTCTCTATACCCTGAGAATTAGTGGTTGTATTGGATGGAAAACAAAAGCTGCCTGTGTAATTTTATTTTGCTATCGTTATTTTAAATGGACATTTTGGTTTGAAATGGTAGATGTCTACTTTTGCAAACTGAAAGAAAAGGATAGTAACTTTGAGTCTTGTATTTGCAGACTATTGCTTATAGGTAATATCTATTTTTAATTACAGCAGACAGTGAGCAAGCTGACATTGCGAGGATGCTATATAAAGACACATGTCATGAGGTACTATTCATTGCCCAATAGTTATACTCTTTCTATAACTGAAATTAATTTATTTCAGGATTCCACTCTTATCTACATTTTAGTTGTGCCATTTCCTTTAAATGTCTTTTATTGCCGGGCGTGGGGGCTCACGCCTGTAATCCCAGCACTTTGGGAGGCCAAGTTGGGCGGATCACGAGATCAAGAGATCGAGACCATCCTGGCCAACATGGTGAAACCCTGTCTCTACTAAAAATACAAAAATTAGCTGGGTGTGGTGGTGTACGCCTGTAGTCCCAGCTACTCGGGAGGCTGAGGCAGGAGAATCGCTTGAACGTGGAAGGTGGAGGTTGCAGTGAGCCAAGATTGCGCCACTGCACCCCAGCCTGGTGACAAAATGAGATTCTGTCTCAAAACAAAACAAAAAAAGGTCTTTTATTTTCATGTTTGACATACATGAGGCAAAGGTAAGGACTGCTGTGATTGGCAGCAGATATTGTTACCTTCCTGAGGAATATTCAGTCTGAAGTGCTAACCAGTGAGGTCCGGGCAGGGCCCAGTCAGACCAGCCTCAGCTTCTGTTCCAACTGTGGCCTGAGACCAGCGACATGGTTCTAAGAGGACAGTGACAGGGTCTTCCAGTACCATTTATTGAAAACTTTAAAATTTAGGCTTAAAAGATTAAGAAACAAAATTCAACACTATTTATATACGTGAATGTTAATTTACATGGATACATTTTATATAGTTTAATGTGTATGTATATTTTATGTAGGCTAAAGTAGTTTCTTTTCTTTTTCAGCTGGATGAACTGCAGCTTTGCAAGAATTGCTTTTACTTGTCAAATGCTCGTCCTGACAACTGGTTCTGTTATCCTTGTGTATGTGAAATTTTTACCTCAAGTGTGTAACATACAGCTCTAAGGAAGTTTATTTCCAGTTTGGTTAAAGATTATAATTTTCTTCCTAAATTTTTAAAATATCATAGTATATATGGGTTTAATGAGTATAAACAACTGAAAAAAAGTAACAGGGCTTGTTATCCATTTCTGATTTTAAAATGAGATACTGAATAAAAATAAATATTGGGTCCTTTTTCTTTTTGAGACAGGGTCTCACTCTGTCGCCCAGGCTTGAGTGCAGTGGTGTGATCTCAGCTCACCGTAGCCTTGACCTCCTCCAGGCTCAAGTGATTCTCCCACCTCAGCCTCCAGAGTAGCTGGGACCACAGGCACACGCCACCACACCTGGCTAATTTTTGTATTTTTTGTAGAGATGGGGTTTTACCATGTTGCTCAGGCTGGTCTCAAACTCCTGAGTTCAAGCAGTCCTCCCGCCTCGGCCTTCCAAAGTGCTGGGATTACAGGCATGAGCCACCACACCCAGCGTCTGGGTCCCTTAATAAAGTGAATTTTTGTTTCTCCTTTCATCCTTTCACAAGAGACCTAAGGCTTTGCCTTTGTCTGTAGCTGTATAATTTCCCCAAAATAATACAGCTTCAAACCGTGCACTGACAAAGGGAATTCTGAGCATTCTTGGCCGGCAGCCTTGGCTGCCTGAGAGAAGCCAGCCCTGTGAAGACAGTACTGTGCCAGCCTAAAATTTCCCCATTTCTAACAAATTCCCAGGGGTGCTGGAGCTGCTGGCTCCCCAGCTGCACTTGGCCAAGCGGGTGCTCTTGTTTGCCACCGTCATACATGTGGATGGCCTTGCTCCAGTCCCGACCTCTTCTGAGGAATAAGGTTCATGTTGGCACTCTGATGCAAATATAAAATCAGTCAATCCCAGAAAAAAAATCTCGTATGTGTTTAGGAGTTATGAAAGAAATATTTTAGAAATAATGGATTATATGTGACTAGTTTAATATTAATGGTACACTTGCATTTAATACTTTAAAAGTAATATAACAAGGTAAAACATTTAATTTCCAGATACCTAATCATGAGCTGGTTTGGGCTAAAATGAAAGGTTTTGGGTTTTGGCCAGCCAAAGTCATGCAGAAAGAAGACAATCAAGTCGACGTTCGCTTCTTTGGCCACCACCACCAGAGGTAATTTGTGATCCCATGTTCAGCGGTCACAGCTGTGCTTATGAAGTCCTTAAGAAAGTTTGATGATTTCTCCATCAGAGATGCATGAAGTTTATTTTAAATTGGAAAAAAAAAACACATTATGCATCCAAGAATACGTTCCAAGATAAATTGTTTCCAGATATTTTTCAGATATTGTGTACTAAACAGGAATTTTTAATAACTGACACTGTTGAACTTCAGAAGCACATTACGGTTAAGACTGAATTTATAGTACAGTGGGCAGAAGGGCCTCAGAATGTGTCCATTCCATAATATGGTAATGGAATTACCATTACCATATTCACAGTTACTCTAGTTGCTCCAGCCATCTTCAAGGCTCAGTTAAAGACATATAGACTAAAATCGTCAATCTTGTGATCTTACAATGTGTGTAAATACCTGAAGCGTGCGTGGAAATAAGCCATAATAGGAATAAAGAATTCACATGCAATTTATTTGGTTCATTTAACACAGATATTGAGATAAGGTGAAAAAGTGACAGAAACCAGCTACATGATCTAAAAGTCATACTTTGTAAGGATTTAAATGAACAGTCCATGAGGTGTCTCCTGTCATGCCAGGAGGTTATTAGTGCATAGAGAAGCTACACAATGAGGGACCTTACTCCTCCCTGTGGTAAATTTTTACTTAGTCTTCATTAATTTAATTTAAACAGAAGTGTAGTTATAAGAAACCTATAAATACTGTAAATTTCCCAGAAGGTAGTTCTGTTCTTTCATAGGTAGATACACACTTACCTGACACTGTCATGTCAAGAAACATTAAATAATGATCCAATAAAATAACTCAATACAAAATGAATGTTTTAATTACATTAAGTGGTAATTTTTAACATATGCTTAATACATCATACTCGGATGGTTTCAGTTTCTTATCAGAATAGGCAAGGAAATAATGTATTTTTGGTAGGTTAGGGTAAGTCTTTATGTGAGATTGTGTTCTTGCTTCACTGTCTTCTACCCTAATCTTGATACATTAGTCAGTTTCTCTGAGCCTTAGCAAAATAAAGGCCTCATAAGAGTTTTTGTAAGGTTTAAAGAAATGTTGCTACAGAGAGACCTGAGCATAGTACCTAGCACATAGTGAGTACTCAATAAATGTCAGCTTTTATAATACAACAGATATTCAAGGAATAACGGGGGAAAGTTTGCTTCAATGTTTTTCACATTAAATAAAACACAGTTAACTTAGAAAAAACAAGAATTCAGTTATTTTTATAGCCATACTAATAGGTAAGAATAATCTGATAATTAGAACTTTTTATCTATATATTTTTCTTTTTCATCAACTTGCAAGTAGCTTTATACTGTCTTCAACCATGAGTGATATTAATAATGAGTTAACTTGTTAGATGTCATTCAGTATACTATGCAGAAAATATTTTTAAAGAATATTTGGGTTAGGCCAGGCACGGTGGCTCACGCCTGTAATCCCTGCACTTTGGGAGGCCGAGGCGGCTGGATCATGAGGTCAGGAGATCGAGACCATCCTGGATAACACAGTGAAACCCCGTCTCTACTAAAAATATGAAAAATTAGCCATGCGTGGTGGTGTGTGCCTGTAGTCCCACCTACTTGGGAGGCTGAGGCAGGAGAATGGCGTGAACCCGGGAGGTAGAGCTTGCAGTGAGCAGAGACTGTGCCACTTCACTCCAGCCTGGGCGACACAGTGAGACTCCGTCTCAAAAAAATAATAATAATAATGGTGCTAATCTGCAGCAGTCCTAGAGTAGTCTGTCACCTGAAGAGAGAATTAGGAAACATCAGATTACATTTTCAGAGGTATTTTTTTTCCGTCAAGCTTCTTAGGTCCTGGAAGATTTTATGTAAATAGTTCTAGACAGATGGGACTCTTGAGGACTTTATTTTAGAAAATAAGAGAGGTTGACAAACTCACTGTGTAAAATCATTTTCCTTTTTCCTGGATACAATGTGAACAATTTGAAGTGAAGGACTGGTTAGGATATACTTTATAGTCTTCCATATTAGAATGTTTATTTTAAAAAATTTGATACAATTATAATCATGAATTTTTAATTATTTAAGCAACTTATGCTCAAAAGGTTCTGGTTGATCAGGAGCCACTGGTTGCAAGTTTTGGCTAATTATTCTTCTGCTAGTCCATCATATCATTACATGTAAATGGGAGGAAAAAAAATGAATGGTTTTGTACCATTCCCTCCTAGACACGCAAATAGAATATGCTGCTCGTCGGAGACAATGAGCACGTTGTAAATCTCCAGCAAAAGAGTCGAGTATGATTGTGTTTACATGTGAGAGCTGCTTTAGTGAGCTTTTTGTAGGATTTGCAAGATTTCGCCTGCCAAAGAAAAGTAGCTGATAAGACCTGTCTTAAGGAGGCTAGATCTTTCTGCTGCGAGAGTGGCTGGTGGATGGCATGGCCCAGGCCAGGAAACCAGGTACAGACAAAAAAGAGGTAGAGCACTTCGGGCTCACTGACATCAGATCACAGAACCATTTTATTCTGCAAATGTAGTTAGAGCATTGGCAGACATAGAGCCAGATTAGACTATTCCTCTTGTTATTAGACTTACCTTAAATTGCGGGTGTTTGCTTTTTTATTTTTTGTAGATCAGAGAGCATACCCCGTGATAATCAGATTTCAGTTTAAAAAATTATCTACAGTACTGGAGTTGATTAAAGGAGAATAGAAGTACATTTAAAGAACAGATGTGAATCCACTTTATTTAAGATAAATAAGGAAAATACTCTTACAGATACAAGTTCATTCCAGGTAGTCAGCACTGCTTGTAACAGAATTCTCTCTCAAAAGCAAACTACTTTGAAAAAGTGAACAAACCACTTTTATTGAATTCCTACTACATAATAGGAAATCAGTAAATATCTGTTGATTGGAAGAGTAAATATATTCAAAATCTAATGGCAAGAAACTATTCCACAAGCATGATTTCATGTGTACTCTGCATTAGAGTTTAGTTTTTCAAAGTTCAGTTTACTTTGATATGGTTTTTAACAAAGTACTTATGCCAGATGAGACATAGTTGATATAATATTAACAATATATTCATAAATAATGTTATGGAAGTTCAACTCTAACAATTTTAGCTGTTGTTAGCATCTAATGATATAGATTATTGTATATTTAAAGTGTGCTTCTAGATTATAAAGCTTGGCTTGTACAAGGAAGTGGAAATGGTTATTTATGGCTGAGGCACATGTGGCCATGATTCCCTAAGAGATTCCTTCCAACAGTCATAGGCCCAGGATTTCTGGAGCGCTATAATTACAGGCCAGGGATGAAAACTGTGATATCATATATACTTATAGCAGGAAAAAATCTTTAACAGAAAACTGAAAAGCATAAATACGTGTGTTTATAGTACCATATCGCAACTTGTACTCTACCGTAGAAAATGTCTGTTACTCATGCATCCATACAGTTTCCTACCTCATTTGTGATGTTCCCTCTGCCTGGAATCTCTCCACTCACATTGTCTGCTGTCTAAATCTTATCTTCCAAGACCAAGGCCGAATAAAATGTTCTGACCACTCACAACCAAATGTTAACTGTTCCTTTCCATAGCACCCTAGAGTACCTTTACCACCTGCTGCATTGCATTATAATTATTCCTTAGTTCTTTCTGACAAAATTGTAAGTCCCTCAAAGGCAGAGGCAGTGTAGGAAGTGCCATCCTAATAATCAGAAGACCCGAGAGATTCCAACCACTAATAGTTTACCTTAACACCTGTGGGCAGCATCTCTTGCCGCTGTCAAATGAGGCAATGAAACTCAAGATCACGTAGACCCCATTCACTTTTCCATTCTTCTTAGTGCCTTCCCCTGGTACACAGTAAACATCTGTTGAACACAACATTTGGGATGGATACAAATTTAAGCCGAGAAAGAGACCAATGCCCAGGAAAAAGTGTTCTTTCCAACAGAAGCAAATGTAGTTGTCCTGCTCTAGTTTTAGATATGTATCGCACTTATGTTCACAGCTAAGTACACTGTGGCTAAATAATCAGTGGCTCTGTGTGTTCATCTGGTTTCTCTAATGAGTAGAGGCATGATACAAATATGACTTACTGGATAATATTTTTAGATCTTCCCATTTTATATGAATATATGTATGTATCTTATGAAAATTTTTGGGCATTTTCAAGTGATTCTTTAGTGCTAACGGCAAATAGCTAGATGGGTTATATTAGTTTACAGTATTCAGAACAACAAATAACTTTAAAAGGACTTATGAAGAATACAGATATGAACTAGGACAAGCTAAGCTGATTGAATTGTGAACAATTGGGAGGCATTTGTGAATCCAGTTCTGAGAACTTTTGTCGACTGTGAAAGACAAAACAAATCTCATTTATTTTCCGCTTGGTAACAGTTTATTTATTCAAGCCATGACGAAGCCTAAGTGATTGTGGTTTTCGCAATTAAAAGTAACGGCAGAACCCACAATTGCTTTTGCACCAAGCTAACAGACGAGAACTGCCACAGGTCGCACTTTATGGCAGGCAGGGTCCACTGAAGCCCTCTTTTACCACCCTTCCTGCCATTTGGGATGTTTCTAACTATACCTTTATGTGTTTTTCCTAGGGCCTGGATTCCTTCTGAAAACATTCAAGATATCACAGTCAACATTCATCGGCTGCACGTGAAGCGCAGTATGGGTTGGAAAAAGGCCTGTGATGAGCTGGAGCTGCATCAGCGTTTCCTACGAGAAGGGAGATTTTGGAAATCTAAGAATGAGGACCGAGGTGAGGAAGAGGCAGAATCCAGTATCTCCTCCACCAGTAATGAGCAGGTGAGTGTGTCTCCGGAAGGAAGTGCCTATTCATTATTACTTTTAAATGCAGAAATCTTAGTGCACACTCCTCACTGTAATGAACAGATTTTGACGTTCTCCTTCCCTTTTTTACATTTGTAAAGTGCTCTGCAAAACTAAACCAAAAGCAGTTCAAATGAATACATAGATGTAACAATCAATGACCTTGACCCTGCCAGTACCAAGAGAGTTAAGTACAAGTGCTCCTCTCTGAAGGTGCGCTGGCTCTTTCAAGCCTACAGTTACCAGAACAGTAAATTAAGTCAGTGGTAACTGAGTGGATGGAAGGATGCAAAAGGTAGAAATGTATTCACTTCTCACCTGTGGGTCCACTATGAGTGTTTTCAGCAGAGAAGTATTTTCTAGTGTCTGGAATAATATATTACTTTTATAATGCCCACAGCTAAAGGTCACTCAAGAACCAAGAGCAAAGAAAGGACGACGTAATCAAAGTGTGGAGCCCAAAAAGGAAGTAAGTTGCCCACCTCGCAGTATCCAGGTGGCAAATGAAACAGGAAATATTTTCAAAGTATTTTGTATTTTCAAAGTATTTCAAAGACAGTCACTCTTGGTGGATACTTGTGAAATTCAGCTGCTGTCAGTCAAATCATATCCATCAAGTTGAAACCAGTCTTCTGACTTCCCTGTCATTATCTGTTACCCTGGAATAGCGTACATGCTCCAAGTCTCCATCTTAATTAAGCAGCCGCTGACCAAAGCTTGGCTAAGTAGGAAGGGCACATTGCTATTAATACATTTCCTGGGAGCTCTGATATTTTTCCTAAGTATGATTAAAAACAACACATTTATCCAGTATATCAGTTGTGCCAACATTTAAAAACTTGAAGGAGACTGTGGTTGAGCTCAGCCGTTTTAAGTGATATAAGCCCTGCATGTTTTAAAACTGTAAATCTGGGCACATTTCAAACACATATTCAGTGAGAAGTGGTTTAGGATTTGAGGAAATGTGTTAATGAATCTAGTCCAATGAAGTAATTATAAGTTGACAATAATTTTTATATTCTATAAATTTCTGTGTTTAGTTTATTTTAAAAACAAAACTTATAGTATTGATAAGTAAAATTATAAATGAAGCTTATGTTTATAATTATTGTAGCTGTTAATTGCATGTTCTTTTCATTCACTAATTGGGGGAGATTTGTTTATTTTTAAATTGTGGCAAAATATACGTGACATCTACCACCCTAACTACATTTTTCAACAGCAGTTTATTCTATGGCTATTATGTATATCACTGAATTTTTATCCGAATGGGGTAGTTCTTGAACTGGTGAATTATGTGGCTTCGTTTGGCGTCTAAACTCTTGTCTCACCTTTTAGGAACCAGAGCCTGAAACAGAAGCAGTAAGTTCTAGCCAGGAAATACCCACGATGCCTCAGCCCATCGAAAAAGTCTCCGTGTCAACTCAGACAAAGAAGTTAAGTGCCTCTTCACCAAGAATGCTGCATCGGAGCACCCAGACCACAAACGACGGCGTGTGTCAGAGCATGTGCCATGACAAATACACCAAGATCTTCAATGACTTCAAAGACCGGATGAAGTCGGACCACAAGCGGGAGACAGAGCGTGTTGTCCGAGAAGCTCTGGAGAAGGTAATGCTTGTCGCCACTGTGGGTGCCCTGCTGCAGCCGGCACTCCTGTCATGGTTAGGCTCCTTTCACTCATGCATCAACCCAGTAGCAGCTTTTACATGTAGCCATATAATGACACCAGTATCTTTTACAGCATTTCAAGTAATAATGATACTTTCCTCACCTAAATTTTTTACACATGTAATGAAGGGGAAAAAAGGTACCTCATGCAAGTTGTGTTAAGTTTCTGTTCCAGTGTAGATGGTCTGTGTTAAGTTGTGTGCTGACGCACTGTGGGTTGTCTTTTCATTCCAGCTGCGTTCTGAAATGGAAGAAGAAAAGAGACAAGCTGTAAATAAAGCTGTAGCCAACATGCAGGGTGAGATGGACAGAAAATGTAAGCAAGTAAAGGAAAAGTGTAAGGAAGAATTTGTAGAAGAAATCAAGAAGCTGGCAACACAGCACAAGCAACTGATTTCTCAGACCAAGAAGAAGCAGTGGGTAAATACCAGTCTTTTTTAGACCCTTATTTCTGAAAATGTACCACAGGTATGATGCCCGTTAATTCAGAAGGTAGCTGTGGCACATGCAGAAGATGTTTCTGAAATAAGATCAAATGTGAAATGGTCAGCTTTAGTTTTAAAAATTTTATTAAAAGTCCTATGATCTCTCAACCCCAGATCCCATATTACTGTGTACTGCTCAGGATTATTTTGTTAAATTGAGATTATAATACCTTAGTACATATTTATTACAATTAACTTATATAATTTCTCCATCTATGCATATATTTTATTTGGGCAAAGTGGCTGGCCCTGACTTTTACCTGGTGATTTCAGATGGGTAACATCCAAATGGTGAAATTATAAATGTAATTATCACAATAAATAGTTTCAGATTTCCCTGCACTTAACATTTATACATTAGATTTTGTTAAAGAAATCAGTTACTTTTACTTTATAGTAGTGACATCTCATTGGTCTCTAACTACCCTCCCTCATACCTGACTAGTATCATTTGTCATCGTGTCCTGCTCGCCAGTCTCATCCTCCCCACTAGAGTGGGAGCTTCTGAGTGCACAGGGTCCAAGTGCTCGTCCTACAGCCGCCACAGTGCTCAGTGAATTAGGGAAAAGTTTTGCTCCCGAAAGCTCATAACTTGGTTTCAGTTTTAATAAATGACTATATAAAGTTTTGTGATAAACTAATTCTTCATTTTATCAAGCCTATATTATATAAATACACATAAGCTTTTCATGAAAGAAATATTTTTAAATCTGTGACAAAGATTTGGCAAGAAGGAAAATGGAAACTTCGAATAGATGAAGATAACTTGGTAGGAAGAGCTGGTGAATAACAAAATAAATATTGTTAACAAAAGACCAGGAGATCTGTGGAGGGAAAAAGAGAACTTTATTTTCTGTTAAAAAAACAACCTGCACATTGGGTGTTATAGCCTTCAGTACAAGTGAAAGCGTGCTTTCCGAATAACTTTTCCATGTTCTTCTTTAAGAAATTTCACTGCTGCTCGTAAGGTTTTGAGGAGCTGACAAGCTCTGACTGGTGAGGGATGGCAGTCGGCAAAACTAGTCTGAGAGCTGCAGCCAACATTTTGTGTTCCAGGTGCTTCTCCCCCCAGCTTCTCAACTCAGTTTTAGTTGGGTATGACAAGAATGACTGAATTTGTGTGATCAACTCTCACAATATCATTAGATGGGAATTAAGGTGTGCTGAAGATAACAGAAGCACAACACCCAAAGACGCCAGGTGCAGTGGCTCATGCCCGTAGTCCCAGTGCTTTGGGAGGCCAAGGTGGAAGGATTGGTTGAGCCCAGGAGTGCAAGGTTGCAGAGAGGTGTCATTGCACCACTGCACTCCAGCCTGGGCGATGGAGCAAGACCCTGTCTCTTAAAAAATTCTTATGAGTAGAAATCTCTTAAGTTTACTAAAGAATCAAGAAAATGGGAAGAAGAGGCTATAATTATAATACTGTCTTTTGTAGCACTTTACCATTTGTGAAACAGCTAAAGTGGGTATTTTTGTACTCTTCTTTAAGATGAAGAATTTGAGGCTTATGAGATTAAATAGAATGATTAAAAACCTAGTTGGCAGAGCTGAGCTTTTTGTGCTCATCACATTCTAGTAAAAGGGTTAGAATTCTTTCTTCTCGGCCAGGCTCGGTGCTCACACCTGTAATTCCAGCACTTGGGAAGGCCGAGGTGGGCAGATCACTTGAGACCAGCCTGGGCAACATGGTGAAACCCCATCTCTACAAAAAATACAAAAATTAGCCGGGCGTGGTGGTGTGTGCCTGAAACCCCAGCTACTTGAGAGGCTCAGGCAGAAGAATCTCTTGAACCCAGGAGGCAGAGATCAAAATGAGCTGAGATTGTGCCACTGCACTCCAGCCTGGGCGACAGAGCGAGACTCACTCTCAAAGAATCAAGAATTCTTTCTTCCCAATTACATCTTACATTGTTGTAAGAAATAGAGTAGTATTATAGGACAGAAAGCATGTAGGTATGCCAGATGCCGAATAATGGATGTCACGAGAAACACAGATAGATGTATCCATTAAATATATCCCCAGAAAGGGAGAAATTGAAAACGAAATAATAGGGTATTTGGGAGAAGGGATGGTGGTGCTGTGTAAAGTCTGAAAGATGAGGAAACTAAGAAGTTAAATAACTTGAAGCCACATGACCAGTGGGTGGCACAGACCCCAGATGTGAATCCCGACACGCCTCATCCAAGCCGTTTCCAAAACTGACTCTGCACCTAATGGGGATTTTTCTGAAGGTGCACTTGCTGACATAATGGATAATAATGCACACAATACACAGGAAGGAAATTAGAATGTTTAGGTATCAAATGTAGGCTAGTCTCCCTGGGTTCTTCCTCCAGGGCTCTCAACAGCCGTCAGATCTGCATGTGTCTATCTACAGAACTTTCATATTTATACTGACCTGTTGTCAAGTGTTTGTTTACATCCAGAAGGTCTCTCATCTTCCTTGCCTCACTGTGGGTGTCTGTTCATGGTACTACTGTTAGTTCACCAACCCAGCTTGGAACTTTAGCTTTACTTTTTTCACTCTTCTCTTCTCCCATGACCAAAGAGTTCAACCATGGTATATGGACCCTTGCACTAGAACATTCTTTGGGGGAGGTGTACATGGTGGGATGTTTAACAGCATCCCAGGCCTCTGTCTGCCAGTAGTACCTTCTGCCCTTAAGTTGTGACAGTCAAAAATATCTCCAGACATTGCCAAATAAGATGAAGACTGAGACTTGGCCACTAGATTTGAAGTTGTAAGTGACCCTGCTAGCAGCATATTAGTGGCATGGTATGAGTAAAGACTGCAGCGTATGTTAACGACGAGAGAAGAATTTGAAATAGGGAGTTTAGGCAAGTCTTTCAAGGAGCTTGTGGGGAGCAGAGAAATGCAAGTGGTAGCTGGAAAGGGATGTGAAGTCAAGAGCATTTTAAGAAAAGAAACGGGAATGACTCTCACAGAGATGGAAAAAACGGGAGGTGTCAGGTACCACCTGACAGCAGCTTGAGTTTGCTGACAACCAGGCATGAGCTGCAGTCATCCCCAGGGCTCCCTTTCCATCTGCTGTGCATAAAACGTATTCAGATTCCACAAAAGGTTGAGCCAGAAAGATCTTTTAAAAGCACCACCTCAAGAGTTTGCCATTTTAACCAGTCGCTTACACATCCACACCCAAGTCTAAAGACTGCCCCGATTTCTTACCTGCAGTGCTACAACTGTGAGGAGGAGGCCATGTACCACTGCTGCTGGAACACATCCTACTGCTCCATCAAGTGCCAGCAGGAGCACTGGCACGCGGAGCACAAGCGCACCTGCCGCCGGAAAAGATGAAGCTGGCCCTTCCCGGAGTCACCCCGATGATTACTCTTTTCAGACACAGCGGTTTTTGTTTCCAAGAAGCCAAAATTGTTTAGAATTTGCTTCCCATTTTGCACCAGCCTTTAAACACTTTTCGTGAAGAAATTTTGCACAGTAGTTTAAATCTTTTGTTAATGCTCCTCCGAAGTTTTTCAGGGGGTAAAAGTAACATCAGTGGAGGGTATTATTTTAAATAAATTTTAATTGAGAATTTGTTGCATTTTCAGCAAATTTTAAAACATTTTTAGGTTTTACAGAGATTTTAACCTTTAAACAACAGATCTTTAAAAAACAGGTGAATACAAGTGAGTTTAACAAAGAAACATTTAGAATAGATCTGAATGTAAGAACTACAGAACTGTTTCAGAAATAAAACATACTACCTTGATGTGACATTTTTTTCTTAACCTTGTTGAGCTGGTTTTGTTCAGCTTAATTTACTGTTCAAAGGCATTATCTGTTGGTCACACCAGTGGGTATATGATTGAATTTAGGGAACAGGGTTGACACAGCAGGGCTAGTCCTGCATATTTTTTCTTAAATATTTCCCAATTGTGTTTTTCATTATTTCTTTTCAATATATAACTTTTATAACAAATTATTAGCTTTGATCTTGTAGTTTAAAATTGCAGGGAACTGGGGTAATCTTTTACTGAGCTGGATCTTAGAGAAAATGAATATTTAAATTTTAAAGTTTGCACATTTCATCTTTGTCCTAACATGAGTGCTTGTAACAAAATAAACAACAAAAACAAAGCCAAAAACTACCTTTATCCATATGTGAAATTATAGATGAGGCATACGAATTTGTTTAATGCTTCCCTTCCCTTCCCACATATCATCTCACTGCCTATTATCTGGTGTCACCTCATGTATCGTAAGTTAATACTAAAAGAAGAGAAAGCACTTAAGTTTCACAGAAGCCGTTATGTTTGTAGTAATGGGTCATTGCCTACTAATGAACTCCATCACTGTACACAGAATGAAGAATAATGCATGTTAATTTTCTTGTATTAAAGATGCCGTGATTTGTAAAAAGTCTGTATTTTGCGGAATGTCTGGATTAAGAAGCATTACCAATAGGAATGGATCGATAGTTGAATAATGATTTTTTATACATAGATATATAAAATACAGCCAGGAAAACTTAAATTACTTTTCTTTTAAAATATCTCACAATTTATGTGGTATTTTTAAAGACTGATCTTAGACCAAGTCAAATTCCCATTTATCATTTAGTTATTTTTTGAGGTTAGAGAATAATTTGTACATATTTATTTAGACCTTTGATATTTATTAAAGCAATTACTCACAATGGAAGTGAAAGAATCAGGAGAAAAGCCTTTTAAAAAGTATTCTCCAGGTTTGTCAGGGTCACTCTAAAGATAAAAATGTAACTAAGTCTTCTGTGAAATATCATCCATCTAATCTTGATGCTGTTGCAGATGGTGGTGACACAAGTTAATTGACAAACTACTGCCAAATGGTGCACAATATTTTGTAAAAAGTACCCAGTAGCCCCATTTCATACAATGTACCTAAATTATGCAGTAACTTGGCATCATCGTTCCCTCCTTGTTGCTGTGTAATTAGTCAGTGTTGCCACAGTGTGTGGCGCTGATGGAGATGTCAGAACCGAGAACACTTAACCTTCTTTGATTGTTTTTCAAGTTTTAAGACTTCGATCCACCCCTATGAGAGCAAGTAATTGTGGAAATATTTTTGGTGTAAAATCATTCCAGAGTATGTAATATTTAACTGATAGCTGCATGAAAGTGAGATTCGTGTTACTTTGGCTTTTCTGTCTCTGTTGACACGGTTGCACATTTCCAAGTTACTACAGCGTGAAAACTGTGTGTTTAAAAAAAAACAAAATTAAAAAAAGAGATTGTGGCCTGGTTTTGTAAAAGTTTTAGGTAAAATTACAATTGATTGTTTTAGGAATCATTATTAAAAATTTTCTGCAAATCATAAAGCTATATCGAGGTGTTGAGCTTAGCCACTATGCACATTGTAATTATTCATTGTGGCTGTCCAGTTCTATGATGCATTCTGGCATTTTGTAAGCTGCTCTGACTAGCAATATATAGATTCATTTAATGTGTTAACATTGGTTAATAAATGTATTTAAAAAAAACTAGCTTTAGTAATTTGTTTATTTAGTGTAGTCCCCTATACCCAACCAAATACTACCGTCGCTAAATGTTGATCACATACTGTGGGTCACTCTTTAGTGACTGCTTAACTTTATATAAAATCAGTGTGTTAAACATCATTTGTTCACTTAAACGTATAAATTGAATTTACTTTCACCAGATCTCAAAAAGACCATACATGATATAATAAGGAGAGGATGATTATTATATCAGCTGCATATCAATTATTGCAAATCAGCCTGAAAAACAGATACACAACTCAGAATGGAATAGATTCTTAATTGGAGGCCAGCTGAGGCTAACCCTCTGCTGTTTTCATCTACTTCTTGGTATGGTAGTTGTGGGTAGTTGACCAGCCCCAGGTCTTAGTGCCAACATTAACCCAGCCTTAGTCGGTACTCTGGTTTTCATCATTCATGCCATCATTCATCATTCATGTGATAGACGTATCACAACTGGGATCAGATGGTTTAGGTCTGAATATTAAAGTCCCAGTTCCTGTAGGATTGTAAAGTTTCCAACAGTAGTAGTAGTATCATTCTATTCACCCTCATTTTGTCTTTGTTCTTCTAGATATATTTTCCTAAGCAACAGGCTTACTGGTCCTCAAAAATGAGGTGTCGGCCAGGCGTGGTGGCTCATGCCTGTAATCCCAGCACTTTGGGAGACCAAGGTGGGTGGATCACCTGAAGTCAGGAGTTCGAGACCAGCCTGGCCAACATGGTGAAACCCTGTCTGTACAAAAATACAAAAAAAATTAGCCGGGCATGAAGGCAGGTGCCTGTAATCCCAGCTACTTGGGAGGCTGAGGCGGGAGAATCTCTTGAACCTGGGAGGCAGAGGTTGCAGTGAGCCGAGATCACCCGATTGCACTCCAGCCTGGCTGGGCAACACAGCGAGACTCCATCTCAAAAAAAAAAAAAGTGTCACTTGTTATTTTATGAAATGCCAACTCTGATTCTAGACCTTAATTATTAGAATTGTGTTCTAAAAGTCTTTTCAATAAAAAAATTCCAACTGACAAATATGAAACCCATATCTATAATACATGAGTATCACTAAAAATTTCAGTCATTGATGACAGCAAAGTGAAAGAAGGCCTCTAGGAGGGTGTATGGAGTGAGTGAAGTGACAAGGTTGCTTCTGTAATTGGGGGCGACCAAATTGAAGTAGTGAAGCAAGTGGCTTAGAGAATAAAAAGCATTTTGCCACATTCCAATATTAAAAGAAAATAAAACTAGAAATAGGATACTTGTGTGAAAGTGATCTTTTCATAAACAAGAAGGAAAAGTGTGCAACTGGAGGAAAGTAATAGCTTTGGTCGGGCTACTCAAGACAAGATAGGTGTAAACAGGGAAGTTTAAAAAGATGTAATAACTTGCTCAGATTTACCCAGTAGGTCAGTCTCAAGCTCAGTTCTGTTTGATTGTAAAACCCATTTTCTTAACTCTTACGCTAGGCTGAATATATGGATAGAAAATTATTTGACAAACATTTGAAATTGAAGTCATCAAGTTCAATACATCTGGAATCAAACCCATCACCTTCCCCTGCCTCACTCCACTTCTCCAGCCAGCTCACTGGATGCCCATCTCGGTTCAGGGCAGTCTCACAGTCCTGGTCACCCAGACTAGACCATGATGTACCAAGTGGCCTCGCCCTGTTCTTTGCCTTCAGTCTCTAATTCAGTAGTTCCCAAACTTGTGACATCAGGATCACTGGAGGGCTTATTAAAGCACCACTAGGCTCCACCTCCAGCATGTGCATTGCTCCCAAGTTCCTAAGTGTTGCTGACGGGAACATCCTTTGAGAACACTGCTTTACTGACATGGGGGGGCGGGAAAAAAAAAAAAGCAATGGACCCTTTCCTGAAAAGTGCACACACACATGCATGCACAGGTAATGCTGCATAAAATTCTGTGGATTCCTAAGGCCTAGAATTATGTTGACCCTCACGTTAAGAATCCTTAATCCAGTAGGACTGGAGCAGCAAAAATGTGGGGAGCGATACAAGTGGAGGCCTGTTACTGTAATTTAAGTAAGCCAGAGCCTCTCAAACATTCGTGAGCACACAGATCGCCTGAGGACCTGGTAAAGATGCAGAATCTGATTTAGTGGGTCTGGCATGGGTGCGGCCGGTAAATCTGCCGGTTCTAATGAGCCTCCAGGTGGTATTGATTCTTCTGGCCAGGGACAGTACGTGAGAGGCCGGGTGCTCAGGAGTGTGTAAATTCATGAGATGAAGTACTACTGCACTAAATTGTAAACTCCATAAAGCAATACTATTAAATAAAAATATACGAGGCATGCATGTAACTTCAGATTTTCTAGTAGCCATTATTTGAAAAGTCAGAAGTAGGTGACATTAATAATGCATCTTAATATATCCAGAATATCACTTCAACATGTAATTAACATAAAAATGAGATCGCTTACATTCATGTTCAGCACTAAGTCTTTAAAAGTCGGTGTGTCTTTTATAGCTTCTGCATATTTCCATTCAGACTGGCCATGCTCATCCACATGTGCCGGTGGCGACCTGTATTCAATTCGGTACGTTGGACAGAGCAACCCAAAAATAAGGGCTTTGTCTTAGACCAGAGCATGCCCTATCAGCGCCTTACCTATAGTAGATATTCATACAGCAAACATGTATTAGAGCTTACTCGGAACAAAGAAGCTGAAAAAAAAAAATCAGTTCTTGCCAGAATTTAAGCCTACCTGAGGGTAGGTTCTTGATATGTTTCAAAGTCTCAGGTTTGAAAGCTTACAAATATCTAGTCAAGCTCCAAAATGACATTTCAATTAGGCAACCCTGGCAAGGGATCCTAAGTCTCCCTGTAGCTCTAAAGGGCAGTCTGAGAACCCTTGAGTCGAACTCCTTAATTCCATACTGCAGAGAAAACAGACCTAGACCTTCTTGGTGTCACGGTATTCATAATACCACGCCTCCTCTTCGGTAGTCCTTTACAGACTGTAGGTGGCTTCATAAAGCCTTGCAAGGACAGGAAGTAGTCCCTACCCTCCTGGAACGACGAAGGATAGAATAGCAGAAGCTATAGAATGCCGAGGAAATTCAGAAAACACTGTGTAAACATCAACCACCGATTCATCAATGTGAGAGCTACTTGAGCTCCTACAGCATCTGTGTGGGATGTGGGATGTCGGGTATACAGCAATGAGCAGAGCAGAGCAGACCTCTCCGGTCTCTTGAAAGCTTACACTCTAGTGAGCAAGATGCCATGAAGACAGAACGCAGGACTGTAGGATACAGAGGAAGCATAAAATCTCAGGGAAAGAACTAGTGAGCTGAACCTTTCAGGGTGAGCAGAGGCTGGCTGGAGATGAAACAGGACAGAGGAACCATATCGATTTTGGATGATTTATTTTCCTCCTTCATATTTTTACAATGAACATTAATACTTTTGAAAGTGGGGGGAAGTTAGAAAGAGGCTTGCTAGAGAGGTGTGTAGTAAGAGTTATAGGAAAGCTATGGGAGATTTGACGTGGTTACAGAGGCAGAATGAAGGAGGGTACTGGCTTAAGAGGACGAGCAGGGGCAACGGCACAGTGAGGGCAGCAGGCCAAGATGTGAAGATGAGAGAAGACGACCCAAGAAATGTGAAAAGCGGGAAGGAAACAGACGGAGGGAAATCATGTTTGGCACAAGAGGAACCTATTTTTATCTAACCAGGAGCCCCTGGAGAGAGAAGGTCCAAGTCTTCTCCAACGCTGGAATTTAAAAAAATTATCTTAGTCTTAAAATTGAAACAAAAGTAAAGGTTGAAAAAGCTACAAAGTGAAAATGTCTCAGCCAATTCAGTTCCCTTGTTCAGAGGCAGTCACGGACCTGTCCAGTTTCCCATGCATCCTTCCAAAGACAGACACACACAATGCTAGTGCTATCCTAGCACTGAGAACAGTCAATTTCAGTTATCTGTAAACATGAATTTAGACACATATGCATATACATACACGTGTGTATGTGTGTCTGTATGTATGTCAAACTACACTCAAAGTTTCATTAAAGTATAACCAGAAAGTAGAATAAATTGTAAAGTATGAGCGTGGTGGCTCACACTTCTACTCACAGCACTTTGAGAGGCCAGGGCAGGAGGATCACTTGAGGTCCGGAGTTTGAGACCAGCTTGGGCAACACAGTGAGACCCCACCTCTACCAAAAAAAATTCTGTTAAAAGTGCCAATCCACTGTTTTCTATCTCACTTTAAAGAGGATCATAAACATTAGGAAAGACTAAGCTCTGAATTTTTAGAATCTTTTAATAATTCTAGCAGCTGAATACCTGCTAATGGGAGGGTGAAGAGACGTGGGACTGAGGACCACACATTTTTGGATTTGTCTCCAGTAAAAATTTTGTTATTTGTTTTCAGTTTCTTACTGCTCTGGATCCTTAGGCCAAAGAGAGCTTACTCAGAACAAAGGAGCTGAAAAACAATCAGTTCTTGCCAGAATGTAAGCTTCCCCAAGGGTAGGCTCTTATCTGCAAATTTGAATGTATACACAAATGTACACATGTATACACATAGGTACTCTTTTCATAAATCATTTCCAAGCATTTTTATTCAGATTTCACTAGTGTTTGTGGGAAGCCTTCAGAGTCCCAGCAAGGGACTTCCACATCCCCTCCCAAAGATGCCGGGGGAAGGAGTCCAGCTGAGACTGCAGCCCCTGGGTCCCAAGCTCTGGCCTAGAGACACAGTTCCAGTTCTCAAGCCCAACCCCGTAGGCCATGAGGGAGGGGCATCCTCCTTCACACCTGTCTTGTAGGGAGGTGTCCTCACCCCCAGCCTCTAGCAGAGATGGCATAAACCTGCCTGACCAACAGACCCAGGCACAATGTCTAAATTAAATGCTGAAGATATTTTTGTTTCACCAACAATTTAAAAACTCTCAAAGATGACTAAAATCACATGAACTTGAAAAGCATTTGGGCTTATTTGCTTAATTTACAAGTACTCATTTATTTATAAGCCACTTTGGTACCATGAACAATATACAGACAGACACGTACACATGAATATACAAAAATACAGACAGACATAAAGATCTTATAGCGTTAGTTTTAAAATGTCAGCCATGAGTCAGGTGACAATCACTAGTATCAAAGAACAGTTGGGTTTAAACTGTGTCTCTGTGAATGGAACAGGCTGAGATTTCTCTCTCCCCCAGGGCCCAAGCCCTCATGGAGTTTTAGAGGAAAACAGGGTAGCAAATTTATTTCTCACACACAGAGAATTTCAGCCTTGTTAAGGAGGAGTTGAAGTATGGTAGTTAGAGGAAAATTAAAAAGGGGTGCCAAGGTAACTTACCATAGGATTTTATAGGGAGGCCAATGTCATTTGTATAGGTAGCTTTCGGTTTAGTCTGTTTTCCAACTGGACCAATGGACTCAGGGCAGAGCCCATTAAGAAACAGGGCCAAGGCCGGGCGTGGTGGCTCACGCCTGTAATCCCAGCATTTTGGGAGGCCAGGGCGGGTGGATCACCAGGTCAGGAGATTGAGACCATCCTGGCTAACACCGTGAAAGCCCGTCTCTACAAAAAATACAAAAACAAAATTAGCCAGGCGTGGTGGCAGGCAACTGTAGTCCCAGCTACTTGGGAGGCTGAGGCAGGAGAATGGCGTGAACCCGGGAAGTGGAGTTTGCAGTGAGCCGAGATTGCGCCACTGCACTCCAGCCTGGGCGACCGAGTGAGACTCTGTTTAAAAAAAAAAAAAAAAAAGTCCAAAAAAAAAAAAAAAGTGAAAACCAGGCAGTTGGAAGGACCTTTTTTTTTTTTTTTGGAGACAGAGTCTTGCTCTGTCACCTAGGCTGGAGCGCAGTGGCACGATCTTGGCTCACTGCAAGCTCCACCTCCCAGGTTCAAGCAATTTTCTGCCTCAGCCTCCCAAGCAGCTGGGACTATGCCTGCAATTATGCCCAGCTAATTTTTGTATTTTTTGTAGAGACAGGGTTTCACTATGTTGACCAGGCTGGTCTCGAACTCCTGACCTTGTGATCTGCCCACCTCAGCCTCCCAAAGTGCTGGGATTAGAGGTGTGAGCCACTGCACCCGGCCAGGATTTTACTTTTATACTGAATCCCAGATCCCTTCAAACACAGGACTGTCATGGGACTGGGCCATACAACACCTGCACAGTACACTTCATTACCAAGACATTTCTCTAAGTGTTTAAAATGCACGTTTTTTATCTAAACATGGAAAGAAATGAGTAGCTCCCTGTAGTAATAACCATTTACTATAAAAAAGTGCCTTCGGCCACCCCCAAAACTGCAGCTCTCACCAGTGACGGCAGCCATCACACACACGGAGGTTAAGTCCTGTCCCACAGTACAATGTAATCTCCAGGGCCCCAAAGCCAAGAGATCAGGTCACGCAGCACAGAATGCGGTTTCAGACCTGACAGGACCCTGCCCGTGACTCTCTAGACTGCACAGGAAGACAGAAGACCCCGGAAAGCAGTGAGTGGGGCCTTTTCCTGCGCTCATTAAGGTGTCTGAGGCATGAGATGTCCCCTCCAGATCCTTTCACGTGGAACCAAAGAGGAAGGAGGAGCAGGAAGAAGAACAGGCAGAGCCGTTCTTGAGAAAGGAAGTGAACACAGAGGAACCAAACACGTAAGTTTTTTAAAAAACGGTTTCAATCTACTGAAAAAGAATTTCCAAAACGAGACCCCAAGAGCAATAGCAGAAAGGCCTTAAACACACACACACGTACACATATAGCTTGAATATCAGTTTTAATTAAGCTGACCATAGAGCTTTAAAAAAAAAAAACAAAAAAAAACTGCCCGGGCGCGGGGGCTCATGCTCTTCGGGAGGCTGAGGCAGGCGGATCATGAGGTCAAGAGCTCAAGACCATCCTGGCCAATGTGGGGAAACCCCATCTCTACTAAAAATATAAAAATTAGCCGGGCCTGGTGGCATGCACCTGTAATCCCAGCTACTTGGGAGGCTGAGGCAGGAGATTCGCTTGAACCTGGGAGGCGGAGGTTGCAGTGAGCCGAGATTATGCCATTGCACTCCAGCCTGGCAACAGGGTGGGACTCTGTCTCAAAATTAAAAAAAAAAAATTCATATCTCTTTATCAGATTTTAGCCAGGACAAACAGATGATAGTTCTGTGTTTTGAATCATTTTTACCAAAGGAACCTTCCTGAGTGGCGAAGCAGTATCCCACGAAGTTGGAAGCTATCACAAATACCAAACCAAAAGGGACTGGCTCCCTGATGAGGAAGGAGCCAGGCTGCAGCAGTGAAAGCACCAAACCCCAGTCATTAGGCCACAGGGTGGACATGCTTCCTTTTTGTGGGTAAATCTTGCAGGGGATCCAAAGCAGGTAGTTGGAACATTTAAAGGATTTAAAGTTGTTTTTTATCTGATTTCAGCTGGAATGCTACTTAGCTAATTCCCTGGATGTCAGCATTTCATCAGTCAGTCATTAGAGTCCTAAAGCAGAAAAAATTTGTTGGATCTGCATTTTAATGATCTAATTTTATTTTTGTCCATTCCCCTCTTTTAGACTATTAGTCTTTTATAGTTATTTGTTTTATTGCCCTAAGCAATTGTCAGCTAGGCAACAAAGGTGTTTTTTGGAGACCCATCTTGCTCATTGGGTGGTCTTTTTAATCGAGTGGAGAATAGTTGAAGAATACTGGGCAGCCCCCAGAACCAGAAGGGTTTGTGGTGACACTGAGCTGCCACAATAGGAGTTTCAGGGAGGGGGTCAGAGACCTGGGGAGTTTCCTCAGGTGGTAGTGACAGGTATCTCTTTGTTTACCTCCTGAAGGGAGGCGATTTTCTCAGAATTTATTTTAGAAGCTTTTTAGGTGCCGCTGGAAGTCTTCCATTTAATTTGTTTCTAAAAGTGGCTTTTTCCAATTGTGTGTACAAATGAATTATTTTAGGTATTTCAAAAGACTTCCATTTTTGGTCATTGTTGTTTATGATCATCCTTGGTTAGGTAGGTCCCCTTTCCTAGATATCTATAATGTATGTAAAACCTGCTGGTATTTAATAGGAGTTTGCCACAAATGAAAAATCAGGCCCACATTTCAAAAATAGAAAAGTAACTGCAATTTTTAAAAGCATACAATGTACAAAGAGATCACAAACGCCTAACGGCAAATCCGTTGACCTGAACCTCTGCTGTGAGACAGGGACAGAAAAAGTTTGACCCAAATCCCTTGTCCTGAGACAGAGGTGGAAAAACTTTCTCTACGGAGCTCTTTACCTGAATCTCCTATCCAAAGACAGAGAGCAAAGCCCTTACTCTTAAAATAAAGAGTTTGAAAAACAGCCTAAATAAGTCAGGACTTTCAACCAAAGAGTGGTGTTACCAAAATGCTAGGGGTTTGATCTAGGTCCTGCTGCTTTCTGCCCACAAAGCCCATCACTGAGACAAGTATGGCCAGGGAAGAAGGCTTTAATCGGTGCTGCAGCTGAGGAGATGGGAGAGCAGTCTCAAATCCATCTCCCTGACGGACTAAAATTAGGGGTTTATATAGCAGGGAAGAAATGTAACTTACATGCAGGAAAACAGGAACTAGGGAGGGATAAGGAAGAGGAGTCAGTCAACAGGCAGCAGGTGGGTGGTTAGGCAGTCATGGCGGGTGAGGGGTTTGGCCTCTCATTGTCCAGATGTGGTGACCTGGTGAGTTTGAGCTCCTTGATACCATCCGGGAGGCCTGATAGTTGGTGCCCTGAGAAAGAAACTCGGGTAAGACCAATGTAAGTTTCTCAAGTTTTAAGACTGGGAATGTCAATTTCTATGTTTATTCTAAAGAAACCACGAACAGCAATTCTATGGGACAACTGGGCTAGTTTCAGTGGGAGGCCCAATTTCAGGAGAACTCACCCAAAACACCTGGTGGGACTTCTGAAGACAGAGTTTGTGCTGGTACCAAGTGCCGCTTTCAGAGAGAAACACCGTGTGGTCAGGGGAAGACACTCTAAATCCTGCAGACTATACCAGATAGTCAACCTAAAAGGAAGAATCCGAGGCAAAGTTAATATAAGTAGGCAGTTTATTTGGGCCAAGCTTGAGGATTGCAGCTGGGAGCAGAGATTCAAGTTGCCCTGAGTATATGCTCTGATAATATATGCTCTGAGAAGCAGCAGTTACAAGTGGGGTTATTTTTTTATTTTTTTGTTGTTGATTTTGAGATGGAGTCTCACTCTGTCACCCAGGCTAGAGTACAGTGGCGCAATCTCGGCTCACTGAAACCTCCAATTCCTGGGTTCAAGCAATGCTCCTGACTCAGCCTCCCAGGTGGCTGGGATTACAGGCACATGCCACTATGCCTGGCTAACTTTTGTATTTTTAGTAGAGATAGGGTTTCATCATGTTGGCCAAGCTGGTCTTGAACTCCTGACCTCAGGTGATCCGCCCAACTCGGCCTCCCAAAGTGCTGGGATTACAGGTGTGAGCCACCACGCCTGGCCACAAGTGGGTTTTTAAAGGCAAAAGAAGAGGATGAGGAGTGGGCTGACAGCAAGTTGACTGTCAGGAATTCTTGTCGGTTTACAGAAACAACAGTGCCGAGTGATTGGCTGTACATTATTAACCTATAGGATGCCAGTAACAGCATCTGGTGTGGCATCATTAGGCTGACTCATACCTGTAGGGTTCAGGGCATGGGGTATGGAGTCCAGTGGATGTCACTAGGTTGATTCATAACTGGAGGGTACATGGCATGGGGTACAGTGTCCAGTGTATGTCACTAGGTTGACTCATAACTGTAGGGTACAAGGTATGGGGTAAGGTGTCTGGTGCATGTTACTAGGTTGACTCACAGCTGTAGGGTACAGGGCATGGGGTACGGTGTCCAGTGTATGTCACTAGGTTGACTCATAACTGTAGGGTACAGGGCATGGAGTACGGTGTCCAATGTATGTCACTAGGTTGACTCATAACTGTAGGGTACAGGGCATGGAGTACGGTGTCCAATGTATGTCACTAGGTTGACTCATAACTGTAGGGTACAGGGCATGGAGTACGGCATCCGGTGCATGTCACTAGATTGACTCAACTGTAGGGTACAGGGTATGGGGTAAGGTGTCTGGTGCATGTCACTAGGTTGACTCACAGCTGTAGGGTACAGGGCATGGGGTAAGGTGTCTGGTGCATGTCACTAGGTTGACTCACAGCTGTAGGGTACAGGGTATGGGGTATGGTGTCCGGTGCATGTCACTAGGTTGACTCACAGCTGTAGGGTACAGGGCATGGGGTACGGTGTCTGGTGCATGTCACTAGGTTGACTCACAGCTGTAGGGTACAGGGCATGGGGTATGGTGTCCGGTGTATGTCACTAGGTTGACTCATAACTGTAGGGTACAGGGCATGGGGTACGGTGTCCAGTGTATGTCACTAGGTTGACTCATAACTGTAGGGTACAGGGCATGGAGTACGGCATCCGGTGCATGTCACTAGATTGACTCAACTGTAGGGTACAGGGTATGGGGTAAGGTGTCTGGTGCATGTCACTAGGTTGACTCACAGCTGTAGGGTACAGGGCATGGGGTACAGTGTCCGGTGCATGTCACTAGGTTGACTCACAGCTATAGGGTACAGGGCATGGGGTATGGTGTCCAGTGTATGTCACTAGGTTGACTCATAACTGTAGGGTACAGGGCACGGGGTACAGTGTCTGACGTGGTATCACTACATTGATTCATAGCTACTTGTAGCAGCAGCAAGCAGTTTCAAGAGATGCACGCATAAGGTCAAGGGGTGTATGTGATGTGACTGCTGCCTGATTTTACTGTCTCTCTGGACCTAATAGTTTAAAAGGATTCATACTCCTGAGATAAAAGTTCTTTTCTCAGCCATATGTAGAAAGCTGAAACTGGATCTCTTCCTTACACCTTATACAAAAATTAATTCAAGATGGATTGAAGACTTAAATTTAGACCTAAAACCATAAAATCCCTAGAAGAAAACCTAGGCAGTATCATTCAGGATATAGGCGTGGGCAAGGACTTCATGTCTAAAACACCAAAAGCAATGGCAACAAAACCCAAAAATGATAAATGAGGTCTAATTAAACTAAAGAGCTTCTGCACAGCAAAAGAAACTACCATCAGAGTGAAGAGGCAACCTACAGAATAGGAGAAAATTTTTGCAATCTACTCATCTGACAAAGGGCTAATATCCAGAATCTACAAAGAACTCAAACAAACTTAACTTACAAGGAAAAAACAACCCCATCAACAAGTGGGCAAAGGATATGAGCAGACACTTCTCAAAAGAAGACATTTATGCAGCCAAAAGACACATGAAAAAATGCTCACCATCACTGGCTATCAGAGAAATGCAAATCAAAACCACAATGAGATACCATCTCACACCAGTTAGAATGGCAATCATTAAAACGTCAGGAAACAACAGGTGCTGGAGAGGATGTGGAGAAATAGGAACACTTTTACACTGTTGGTGGGACTGTAAACTAGTTCAACCACTGTGGAAGACAGTGTGGCGATTCCTCAGGGATCTAGAACTAGAAATATCATTTGCCCAGCCATCTCATTACTGGGTATATACCCAAAGGATTATAAATCATGCTGCTATAAAGACACATGCACACGTATGTTTATTGCAGCACTATTCACAATAGCAAAGACTTGGAACCAACCCAAATGTCCATGAATGACAGACTGGATTAAGAAAATGTGGCACATATACACCATGGAATACTATGCAGCCATAAAAAAGGATGAGTTAATGTCCTTTGTAGGGACATGGATGAAGCTGGAAACCATCATTCTCAGCAAACTATCACAAGGACAGAAAACCAAACACCGCATGTTCTCACTCATAGGTGGGAATCGAACAATGAGAACACTTGGACACAGGAAGGGGAACATCACATACTGGGGCCTGTTGTGGGGTGGGGTGAGGGGGGAGGGATAGCATTAGGAGATATACCTAATGTAAATGATGAGTTAATGGGTGCAGCACACCAATATGGCACATGTATACATACGTAACAAACCTGCATGTTGTGCACATGTACCCTAGAATTTAAAGTATATATATAAAAAAAATTCTTTTCTCTCATTTCTATGGACAGGAATAATTTGTATTATCATAAGTTCTCTACAATGTATAGAGCTGTAAAGTAGCTCAAAGACAATAAAATGCAGAGATAACCTGGATGGCTGAGCTAGTCAGGACATCCAAAAATATATATATTTTTGCCCATGTAAAAATCTTTCAAAGTATTTCCTGACAAGTTCAACAATTCAATAGTCCAAGGGATATGAACAAAACAGTCTACAGAAAGAGAAATAGAAACGGCTTTAAAGATATTTTTAAATACACTCACTTATGACAAGAGAAATGCAAATGAAAACCATCGTTTCTGACACGGGGTACTGGCAAACGCATAAAGGCACCTCTGAAAACCACCGTTTCTGACATGGGATACTGGAAAACACATAAAGGCACCACAATTTCTGTCAGTGAAGTGTTGCTGGTAAAAGTGAAAAATGAACGTGATGCCACCAAGGGACACTTTCTGGGAAAATCTGACCAGATTACAGCATGTTGACTCTTTGGTGCCGCAATCCCACTTCTGGAAATCTGTCCATCAGATACGCTTGGCCAATTATGAAATACACTGTTATCATAACAAAAATTGATGACTCATAATAGCAGAAGACAGGAAAAAGGCTAAGTGCCCATTAATAGGGACTGCGGTGCAACCAAACAATGGAATACCAGGCTCCTTATAAAAGACAGTAATCAGGATGAACTTTAAAGAAAGCAAGGTACAGAATACACAGTACATGTCCTTTCCGATTAGAATGAGGGGGTGGTAGGAATATACATTCATGATTGGCTTGTATTCACATAAACACTGAAAAGACAGCAGCAACTAGTAAAAACGGTTCTCTCTCAAGATGAGCTGTGGGGACCGGAGCACAGGAACAAGATTGCAAGCGGATTGCAAGCGCGACTTCACCATGAACACCTTTTCACGGTGTCCACATTTGGACCCTGTGGTCGGATTATCTACTTAAAACATTACATTTTGTGTATTAAAACAAAAAGATTTTTCTTAACAGCCCAGGCAGTAAATGTTGAGATGCTGACACCAGGTAATAGTGATATTTTTCTTTTTCTTCCTTTCCTAACTGTGCCATTACTAACCTCAGGGGCCGTGGTCCCTGCACACATGCTGTGGCGTCCACTTACGAAGGGGTGCTTCGTGTCCATGTACCTCCTCAAACCCTAGTCCCATCTCAAATTAAGTGCTTTAAACATAGCAGAAACTCGTTAAATGCCGGTGGCCTGACTGCTGTCCTTATTCTCCGAACGTCAAGGAGCTATTGAAGGCACGATTGAGTTGAGTGGGCCGCAACCAAAACTGAACTTGGGTGGTGATGGGGAAGAAGCATCTCTCTATAGAAACGTAACCCTGTAAGTCATCCTTTTACATAATGTAGCAAAATACTTAACATGGTAATACCTAAATACTTGAGTTGATCTTTAAACCGAGGGAGGGATTATTTACACCATAAAGGATCACAGGGTCTTTTAAAATTGCTCCTTCTCAAGTGTGTCTTCACTTATCTCGAAACATGGTGTTAGAAACTTGCAGCAGACCTGTTCATCTCTGTTGACAGACTGTCAATCAGCATTAAGACAGAATAATTCTCAACTTTGGTGTTGAAAAAGAATTCTTATATTTTGGAGACCTCATTGTTGTTTCCAGGAAGTTAAAGCCCTGGATGACTGCCCTGTTCAGTATACCCAGCACCCTTCCTCCTAAATTAAGACAGGAGAGTTGTTGGCTGAGAAAGGGGGCAGATATGGGTGCTCCTGCCCCTGCCTCTACCTGCCATCATCCCATCAGGCTGGCAAGGATGTTGCATCGCACCTGAGTCCAGAGGCTAATCAGGACCAGCTGTTTGAAGGCAGGAAAAATATGTTTAAACAGAGGAAGCATCAGTGTGGTCATATTTTGGTTAGATCCATTTAAAGAACGCTGTATCTGTATGTGGGGAAAAATAAGAACTTCACCATCATCTACTCTTATCCCTCATCTTAGAGACAGAAAAGAATAATACGTGATCTGCGCTTTGTGGCTAAGCCAAGACACTGGTGTGACTGGAGAGGGTGGGCACCTCCCTCAGAGCTCATGCCTCAGAGCTGCCAGACTTGGGGAGCTGTGGGATCCTCAGCACCAGCAGTTGGGGTTCAAATATTTGCTGGCTGAAGAAATGAACGAGGCAGAATTTGAAAAATTAAACTCCTTTGAGGGCTGTCTCCAGCTGTCATTTATTTCTGTAGGACCCACGGGCTAAGAATAGCCTTTATACTTTTAAATGGCAGAAAAAAGATCAATAGAATACTTCATGATGGGAAAAATCATTGGAAATTCAATTGGTGTCTCCCAAAAAAGCTCCATGGGACTAGAGCCACAGTACTTATTGGGGGGCTTTCTATGGCTGCATTCACGCTACTGCTCAGAATCGAGTTGAGGTAGAAACCATATGGGCTGCAAAGCCTAGAATATTTTCTAGCTGGCCCTTTACAGAAAAAGTTTGTTTTCCCTGTCTTGTAAGGTTAGCAGTGAGCTGGAGTTGACACCAAGCAGGGCCAGCATGCCTGTTACCTTCTGGAGCAACTGCCCATTAACGGCTAATGGCTTGATCTTAACTCACAGAATCCCTAAAACCCATTAATGTCACCCAAGCCCATCTTTGCAGCCCAATTCTACCTCCAGGAAACACAGAGCTGGTGGCTGATATGGGCAGCAGAGTGTCACCCGTCTTTGGTTTATGAGCCCCCAAAAATGATCCTCTGGCTTATGACAACCTGATGCAGCCCAGGAAATGCCTGCAACATGCCCACTAGCAGCTGGGAACCCCTCTGTGAGGAAGAGAACGTTTTACATTAAGAAACCCTTTGTTTTGCAGCAGAGACTATTCAGGTCACACATGTGTGGCCTCTCAGTTCTTTGAGCCATTTGAAGTTCTCTATCCTTGCTGGGAGGCTGAGCTCTCCATGGAAACCTGGTCCGATAGTGAGAGGAGCAGACCCTCTGGAAACACCTTTTTACACCTGACCAAAGCAGCCAGTCATGGGCCAGTGATGCAACAAGGTCAACCGGTGCATTCTGGCCCCTCAGAAAAGCAGCCCCCGGGAAGGTCAGGAGGAGGCTGCTGACTCCCTCTTCCCCTGCAGCCGCCCCAAGCACACCCAGGAGCCCTGCAGGTTTGGGTTCACCAGGTGCCAGCAGGTCCCACGATGCTGCATTTCTTACGAGCTCCTGGAGGATGCAGATGGTCCTGGTCAGAGGCTGCATTCTGAGTATCAGGAGCCATGGGGCAACGTTTCTGCGATTGAGGAAGGGGCATTTCTGGGGTGGGCAGAACAAAGGTCTTTGGCTGAGCTGGAGCATCCGCCTCCATCAGTGTTTTCCGGCAACTGTACTATCCATCGTCTTCCCTTCCCACAGCTGACCATGGCTTTGGAAAATGCTCTGAAACTTTCTTTTCAGAAGAGTTGACTCCCAACTCCACACTTAGGGGAAGTCAAGCCTACTTCTCAGAATTCAGAGAAGGCATAAAAAAGAATTCATTTCTAAAGGCCCTTTAGAAGTAACTTCAGGTCTGACAGCGGCCAGCTAATTTCTGGTCGCCTTCCAGGAATCTTCTGACTGCAAAAAAAAAGCATTTACCACCTGAACACAAACCCAGTTACAGATAGAAAAACATAGTCATTTAAATAGAATATAAGCATCTGGCCTCTGCCCATCATAATGGAGTAACACAAAAATCTATTTTCAAAAGGAAACTAAATATTATTGACCAAAACATGAATGGGGAGACCTCAGGGTGATACAGCTCTTGCCTGGATGGAATTTGTAATCAAGAGGATGAGACAGGATTGTAACTTGTGCCAATGTGAAAGGGTTTGCTCAGGTATCATTCATTTTGCTTAAATGCATGGGTAATTTCCAAAGTTCTTTGGAGCTGAATTTCACAATTTAGTGCAGGTCCTGGTGAGCCCACCTTGACTTATCTCACAGTACAATGCAGTGGCGTGGCTACAATGCTGGGCAAGAGAAGCCAATGTCAACAGCCCAGGAGTGGCTGGGTCCTTACCAGGCTCCCAGGCATGCTTCATGGTGGGCCCTGGGCTGGGAGGAACAGCACCTTTGCCTGGTCCATGAGTATCTGGGTCAAACTCTCCTGTGGACACAGAAGGCCATGGCGACAGGCATTCCCAGGAAAAGAAAAGGGCAGCAGCTGAAATCGTCAGGTGGAGAAGGCAGTCATCCTTGCTCAGTCAACTCTAATCCGGCTGCCTCCTCCTCAGCTTCAGGGTGAACCTCTCCTAAGCTGTGTCTTTGGTATCTGATGGGCATTAGGTGCTGGTGAAAAAGCTGGAGGGTCCTTTGGGATATTACAGAAGCCCAATCTAGCCTTGTATTCAATATCTAGGCACTCTCACCCCTGAAGTTCTACGTTTCCAGATTTCTGAAAACATGGGAAAGCATGTGTGTGATGTCTGAGGTCCCCCTCAGCCTCTGGTGTAGGGTTAGGAGGGCTCTAAAGGGTGGCAGCTCCAGTGTCCCAGTGGGGCCTGAAGTTGGTCCCTTCCCTTCCCAGCTCCCATCCATGGTTTAGCCCAATCCCTTCCGTACCTAAGAGTACTGCACATGGATGCTCCACGCAGAGCCTCTGCTCCACTCCCAGGAAGTGGGATCTGCACAGCTGGGGCTGAATAGCTGTCTGTTAAAGAACAGACCTATGAAACAAGCATTCTGACATCATTTCCTACAGAAGCACATTTTTAAATAGCTCAGATTCTTGTCCCAGTACTGGAGCCTAGGTGTTGCTGGGGTTCCTGGGATGAAAAGGTCCCTAAAGGCGGGGTTCTCCTGCAGTTTAGCTCAGAGCAGAGACAGCAGGATGCACTGTCGTGGGGGTTATCTGTTCTGTGAGGCCAGGCTTGTGGCTCAGGATATTCCATGCATTCTCAAAAATTAGGACCCCTTTCCCTCCACTCTGTTCTATCCCAGACGTGCAGCAGCTGAAGAGTGGCCAGGCCCATTCCTGGACATCCACTTGGACCTGGCTACTTCTACACCTCCTGAAAAAGGGATAGCTCCCTGGGGCCCCCTGGGAGGGGCACACGCACTTCCAGGTGCTTCTCACACACTCTCCTGGAATAGGGCTGCAAAATATGTTTTCTGCCCAACTATGCTGTGTCAGCAAACTTCCTAAGGTTCTCAACCTTTCTGCCTCCTGCACCCTCCCTCCCCTGGTAGGGCTTCTAAGAAACACACCTGGGATCCTCATCTGAGTGAGCCAGCTGGTTTGTAGAAGTCATTTGCTAGAAGTCTTTGTAGTAGGTGTAGTAAAAAACTCAGGCCAGGCACGGCGGCTCATGCCTGTAATCGCAGCACTTTGGGAGGCCAAGGCGTGCGGATCACGAGGTTGAGAGATCAAGACTATCCCGGCCAACTTGGTGAAACCCCATCTCTACTAAAAATACAAAAATTAGCTGGGTGTGGTGGCGGACACCTGTAGTCCCAGCTACTCGGAGGCTGAGGCAGAAAAGTCACTTGAACCCGGGAGGTGGAGGTTGCAGTGAGCCAAGATCGCGCCACTGCATTCCAGCCACGTAACCGAGCAAGAGTCTGTCTCAAAAAAAAAAAATAAAAAACTCAAGTCTCAGAGGCAGTGACAGAAGCCCTTTCTATTTCTACCTATTTCTGCCTTGAATGCCAGTTCTAGATGGGGCTGAACTTGCTACCGCGCCTTAGAGCTCAGGCACAAACTCACTGTGCCCACGAAAGTCCGAGTCCCGTTTGGAGATGGGGTAAAGACAGGCGTGCGACCTGGGGAGTGCAGAGCAGAAACACCACTGGACCCCTAGAGCAAGCAAGCTGGGCAGGCCCATATTCCCAACACCCCACGATGCCCTCATCGCAGAATGACAAGCCACGTTAGCACTGGGGCCAACCCACATCACTTGCTAAGGTATCAGCTTGGTCTTGCCTGTTATTTTGTTCATAGAATTAACATAACAGACCAACAAACAGCAAGAGCTGCAACTGAGAGTATGCACTAGACTTGAGCCGCTTGTGCCTGCAATATGTTTTGCCAGAGGGACGTGACAATGACACCAGCCGACATTCTCATTCTACAAAGAAAACCCAGGGATTACAGGAGAGGTTGTATAGGATCTCAGCATGACTTTCTAGATTCTGGTAGAAAGAAATGTTGAGTATGTCAGTAGGGATCAGGAATCGCAAGTTCTACTGAGACAACAGTCAGAGCTGAGCATCGCAGCAAATGCGGCAGTTAGGAAATGACTCCTTGTGCTAAGCAACCTCTCCACAGAAGCAGTGTGACTGCTTCTGTCCAGGTGGACAGACCATTGTGAGTGCACTGACATGTTTCGTGGAGGATTCACAAGACAAAACGAGGACTGGCCAGCCAACAGAACTACTCTTGGTTGCATCCTAAGAACCCAGCCTTGTGCGAGGGGCCGTGGAGAATGCAGAACACAACTTCACAGTAGCAAATCCTATACTCACCCACCTGCGCTGGCACACACACACACCGGCGCTGGAATGCACGCATGCACGGCCCAAAGGAGGCCCCACGGGAGCAGTTCTCCTGGTTACCTGGTTTGTACTTGACCGGTCACGGTGAGGGCTGCCATCTGAGAAGCGGGAGCCTGTGAAGAAGCATCTCTCCCTCGCTATCTTCTGCTTCATCCGATGCAGCCCTGCAGGTCTCACACCAGCCGTTCACTTTCACACACCCAAAGCCTCATTCTCAGTCAGCGTGGGATTGTCCTGAAGGAAAGTTTGGGGTCAGGGGAGGCAAGTGAAATTCGAACACAAAGGCACTCAGATTACACCTGGTGCCATGTGTGAAGATTTTAGTTCCATTGATTTTTTTTTTTTTTTTTTGAGATAGGGTCTCGCTCTGTCGCCCAGGCTAGAGTGCAGGTGGCGTGATCTCGGCTCACTGCAAGCTCCGCCTCCCGAGTTCATGCCATTCTCCTGCCTCAGCCTCCCGAGTAGCTGGGACTACAGGCACCCGCCACCATGCCCAGCTATTTTTTTTTTGTATTTTTAGTAGAGACAGGGTTTCACTGTGTTAGCCAGGATGGTCTCAATCTCCTGACCTCGTGATCCGCCCAACTCGGCCTCCCAAATTGCTGGGATTACAGGCGTGAGCCACGGTGCCCGGCCCTAGCTCCATTGATTTTTCTTGTGAATAAACACTTATCTTCATGGAACCACTAGTCTGAAGGCCAGTTGATCTGCTACTGCTTTCCCAAAGACAAAGCCATAAGAATTCCCAGATCTTGGGCAAAAGATGCAGCTTTTGGTTGTCAAATGGATAAAGACAATTTGGGGTGGAACAGTCAAGTACTCGTACTTCCTGACACGCAAAGGTTCCCTACGATACAGCTGATAGAAAGCATTTGCACACAGGACTCACGCTGTTTGTCCCCAAATTACCAATAATCTGTACACTTGCAGCAAAATGTGAACAAATATATTTAGATATATTTAAAAGAATTAAAAAAAACATTTCACAAAACATTTGTTGCCATAGGAATTATTTTTAGCAATAAATGCCCACATCAAAATTTAAACATTTTTCAAAGTATGATTATCTGTACTAAGTAATGCAACAAATTATGTAAACAGAGTCAGATACATTTCCCTGTAGGAGTCACTTCCTTCCCGGGATTAAAGCTGTCCCAGACATCTTTCCAGGGGACCAATTAAGAAACTGCTATTTTCAGAGCAACAAAAATAAAAGCTTTTATTTGTTCATTTGAATATAAAACAGGCGTTATCACAGATGTACAAAGCGTACTGGTGGTTTAACATACAAGAAGGTTGCTGTCCTTTGCACATAAAAATTTTGTTTGAAACTGTGGCTGGTTGAGTACATGAGTTTCTCTAACCAGTCACCACACTCTGAAATAACGCTGCTAACATTCAACTGATAAAAGGGACCATCTCCCTTGGGTAAAGTGTCAAGCAGGATTAAATATATATAATAAACAAGCACCATGAGGAATCTGCTCCTGTTTGATTAGGTCTGTGTTTATATGTTCACTGTGTACCCTCTTTTTGTGCAAGTTGATTACACGGTTTTGTCTGACTTCAAAAGCACAAGGTCACAAGACAAACATTTTTTACAATCTCATGAATGATTTATCTACAGTACAATTTTGAATACAGAATGACCCTTCTTTATTGCTGAAACTGGTGGTACTAAGTGTCTCCTTTCCTTTCTCTTGCACAACCAAATTTCAATCTCAGTCCACCAACTCTTTTGAGCCTAAACTCTAACTAATCAGAGTTGACAGGATGCAGAAGAGGCGGCTGCTAACTGCCCTCACAACTGCACTGCAGCGTCCACACTCCTTGAATGTAGAGTTGATCTGGTGACAGTTGAAATTATGTTTGAAGTGACATCTACATTTGTTTTGCTTCCTGACTTCAGCTGGACCTCAAAGCTGTCCTGCACACTGCAGCTAATGTTTCATAGTCAGTGCCTGGCCTGAAGCCCCAAACCTACCTCCCTTTCAACAAGGTGGGTGGGTGTAGGAAAATGTCTTTTTTCCCCCCAATGTGTGGTGGTTCCCCCCTTAGGAAGCAGAGACTAGGAATGTGCATCTGAAGCATGTGGAGAAATATTCACACACAGCAATGAGGTCAAACAATATTTCAAGAATCAAATGGTTTGTGGAGATGGAAGGATGCACCACATATGCAGACACATTTTTTTAAATGTGCCACTTTTTTTTTTTTTTTTTTTTTAACAACAATCAGCCTTGGATCTCAGAAGTCAAACAAAACTCTTTTAGCAAAAGGCTTACTGCTGACTGCATATAGCAAAGGCAGAGAAAGACGCTGCCCACAACATAATGAAAGATCATCTACATTTTGCCCAGCATCAATCTTAGTCATGCATATCTAGCACCGAGAGCCACTGCGGGGTCACACTGGGGCAGTTACAGAACACATCTTTCTCGGAGTGCAGATGCTCCTTCTTGGTTGGACACCGTGGGCCAATTCAATTTAGAAGTGCACAGGTGAGCTCTGAGAAGGTGTGGCCAGGAGCTGCCAGGGCAGAAACTGGGGCGCACTCGTCCACAGGCGGCAAACGACGCAGCTGGAGGACTTCTTGCTTCAGCCGGAGCTCTGGCATGAACCCCCGGGGAACTGTGCTCACTGAGCGAGGGAGCCCCAGAGGCTCACACAGAGCGGGCTGGGTCTTAAGACGAGGGGACGATCACCGATGTGAGTTCCGGACACTTTGTCCACTCCACATTGGCCATCAGAGGGGGAATCAATGCAACCCAGTGCGAATGACCACAGAATCGCATTCCTTTTCGTAGCAAGGACCAAAAAAAGATGACATTAACAAAAATGATGAAAAACATTGTGCAATGAATTCTTGCAGCTAAGAAAACAGTGCTATTTGCCAACCTAAAGCCCCTCAGTATCATCAGCACACGCTGGCATAAACACATTCACTGTTGTCCCACAGCAAAGAAAAAAATAGTGCACATTGAGCTTTGAATTCTTTTGCCATCCTTGAGATGGCAATAATTTCACTTGCTGGTCTCTGGTTCTAGAAGAAACTTTTAGACAGGGCTCCTGCGGTCTGCGACTGCTGGCAACAGCAGAGTGTATGTGAGTACGGGGGGCACACCATGCAAGTGACAAGTTCTGCATCTTAAACTTTAAAATCTCCTTTGTTCATTAGTGAATTTATATTTCATATATATATATTTGTTGTGATACTATCCACGCAAGATAATACAACACTTTTTTATATTAGCAAACATTACAAGACTTTAATATTCTTGAATGTTTTTCTCTTTTATAGTTCTAAAGAGATCAAAATAAATTAAACGTTTTGTACATAATTACATATTGAGGAAGTTAACTTATTTTATCTTTTTAGTTTAGTACAAAGATATTTGCAAGATAATTGCCGAAATACACCTTATTTATAATTTCTTCTCATTCTATACTAACTTCGAAGGCCGTATACCAGCCTTTGTTTCTTCAGCACATTTCTGACAAAGAAAGCTGCTATTATCTAATTGGAAGGTGCTATTTGGAAGGTTTTCTCGTACCTCAAACTTTCCTAAAAGGATGAGATCTAGCAATGGCTTAAATTAGTAACAGATCCATGTCATTAAGATTTCATGACACATTAAAACAGAGAAAACAATTCTTTGTCACACTACATAAATTGTTTAAAAGAACCCATCTGGAGGGCAGGATATTTTTTTAATTGCTATTTCGGCTTAACAAAATACCACATTTACGAAGAAAGCACTTATTATCCAATAATTAAAAAAGAAAGAAAAGAAAAGAAAGTTTTGAAATGGGCTTTTCCAACAAACTGAAGGCAGTAATCCAAAGTCCTTCTGAGCGAAATTCAGTGGTAAATTCACATTTCACCCCCATGCCAATCGTGGCTGCTGTGAGAAGTCCTCTTCCTCCTCCTCTTCCTCCTCCACTCTCACCACAAATGGCTGTATTCTGGTGAGTGTTGCCCTGTGTCTGCACGCTTCAGTGGACACGGAGAACAATGTCTACATCTCTAGAAAAGTCCATGGAAGCCAAGAGACGAGACTACATGTTGTAGGCCACATAGATGGGGTCTAGCTGGTCTGCCAAAAACCCGTCTCGCAGGTGCATGCGCTGCTTCTCCCCACGGGAGTTGATGGGGATGACGCCGATGTCCACCACGACCACCACTCCGACGATCAGGTAGTGCTCCTCCAGGACCACGTTGGTCACCAAGGGAACCAGGTCCAAGGCTTCTTGTTCCGACCCATCCAGCTCAACCACAACCACCAACAAATTTGTCCAGGTAAACACAGCACTAAAAGACAGAAAAGAAAGCCATCATTATATGTTTATTAATGCTTTATTTAATAGCCGTGGTTTCAAAGTTCCACTTGGCTCTCTCTGACCTGCCTGAGCACTGCCCGACAGTCTCCTCCGGCCTCTCCACGTCCTCCGTCTGCCGCCCACTAATCGTTCCCCATACAGACTTCCTGGCGACAGCACCTGTCGGTGTTTCCTACCAGCCTTCTCTCTCGGTGGCTTCTGCGACTGTTTCACCATCTTCCCGAGTTCCCATTTCTAGCACAGCATCACTCCACCTGGCCAGCGGAGTCTGTGTTCCAGTGCTGCCTCTTTGCTGCTGCCTGGAGGACCAATGCCCTCACTGAACAGTGCAGTGTGCCATCAGCCTCGTACCCTCAAGGCAGCCCTGTGCCTCCTGCTTCCAGACCCCCAGCTCTGCTGCTGAGGGCCGTGCGTGCGGAGGCCGAGGGCAGGGGTGCCTACTCCTCTCTGTCTGTGCGGTGGCCCCGAGTCCAGCTCTGCTGCTGAGGGCCATGCGTGTGGACGCCGAGGGCATGGGTGCCTACTCCTGTCTGTGCGCCCGAGTCCAGCTCTGCTGCTGAGGGCCGTGCGTGTGGACGCCTAGGGCATGGGTGCCTACTCCTCTCTGTCTGTGCACCCGAGTCCAGCTCTGCTGCTGAGGGCCGTGCGTGCGGAGGCCAAGGGCATGGGTGCCTGCTCCTCTGTCTGTGCAGTGCGCCTGAGTGGGGGTGTGTTTCCCAGTCCTGGGGCTTGGGCTCAGCATGGAACCTGGTCAGCCTGTGTTAGGGAGATGAATGCCGGTGGAGGCTCCAGGAGGGCTGGATATGGGGGCTTCTCCTGGCGTGCCTGTGCCATTGCAAGGATGGGGACACACCTGGGCTGGCCCTTGGGTCCGGAGGATAAGAAACACGTGGAGAAGAGCCACCAGTCCTGTGCCCAGCTAAGCTGCTTGCCCCAGCTGAGCCAGCCCCTTGAACGCAGATGTGGGGACATTGTAACAACTCTCTCTAAAGCACTGAGCATGGGCTGGCTGCCATACAGCCATGGCTAACCCATGTGCAGGGAAAAGTCTTCTGGAATATGGAAGATTCACTCAGAAATGTTTTATCTGGGATCGAGTCATCTTTCAGCAGGACAGGCACCAGAGGATTAAGTCTGCCCAACTGGCAGAAGCAAAAACCCGGTGCTTTACAGTTTAAAGGATATTTAATGGCTTTTGGAACTAACTGTTTAAGGGCCCTGACATTCACAGAGCCTGGTACTTGAGGTCTGCTTGGCTGAGGAGGCCAGAAGGTTCCCGGGCAGAGTGGGCTGGATGGAGACCAGGCTCCAGGGCTGCTCGTATCTGCTCTCACGCACCTGACAAACATGTTCTATCCCAGCTTGAGGCAGGAGATATTTTAGGAAACTCACTATTGTTCTAAGTGGGAGAGTAAGTCAGTTAGGAAAAAAACGCATATTTTATTCAGTATGGCCAACCTATGTTAAATTGAAAGGGAAAATTGGAGAATTTTCCTGGAAATTCTCAACAGTTCTCCTGGATTTTGCTTTGTGACTGCCGCATGCCTATGGAGCATGCTAAGAGCTGTTTCCCAGAGGACGTGCTGGCGCTTAATTCCTGTCATACTGCTCCTGGTGATGTTAAAATGTTGCTCTACATGGCCCATGTGAGCCCACATTGTGAATCTGTCATATCACAGATATAGACGTCTCAGGCGCATTTGGTATACTTTTATTACGGCATTTGAAATGTATGGAATAGTCCTAGAGTATCCAAATCTGCTTGGCTCTCCGGAGGAATCAGCTTGGCTCTCTGGAGGAACAGAGCTGGCCGAGGGTGTGCTTGCTCCACTATCTCCTCTGCCAGGGACCTATGGGGTGGTGCCAGTGACTCTCAGAGCTTTTACAGGAGCTGTGCACGCTATTTAATGCTGAGAACAACTGATGAGAAATGAGAAAGTTTGTTTGGCTTGAATTTGGCAACATGGAGAGTCCCATTCCACAGCGCTGGGTGTCACAGCCGCATTTCTCAGCATGGAGCAGCCGATGGTGGCCCCAAGGGGCAGTGCAGGGAGGCTGGGAGAGGGAAGGTGGAGCAAAGCAGTTTGTACCTGGATCATCTCAAACATTCAAAAGTCCACTCAAAGGACACTGTGTGGGCAAGGGGCATGTGAGCCCCTGACCCGGTGAGGGACAGATCCAGTTTGGGGGTCACATGGCAGGTAACAGCAGCGACATTTGTTACAGAATAAGCACCACGGTCTAGAAGCCCACAGAGGGCACCAGCGAGGCCCTCGATGCACACCTTTTAGCGGGAAACCAGACAGAAAATGCTTGAGGGAGGTCACACAAGCCAATTAAAATTGTTTTCTTAAAAATACAAAAACGGAAGGCTGTAACTGATATTCGTAGCTATTTAGACGGAAAATAAGGTAGGCCCTGGCCGAGTTTCTGGGCCAAAGTCTTCCTAGAGTTTCTGTCTTCTCTGTATACTCAAGGAGAGAAGTGTCAAGGAAATCGACAATCTGAGGACTTTTGAGAGTAGGGGCTTAGCCAACTTGAGCCACACGAACACGGACAGGTATGCAGACTTGATCTTGTAAATTCTGCCAAGGCCTTAGTGTTCAAATTCAGCAAATGGCAGTAAGTACCAGCCTTTATTGCATCTCAGCTAGCTAAGAGGAGGAAGGAACAATCTCAGAACCCATCCTTTCAACCCAGAAGAGCTGTTCATGAGAGTGCAGAACATACCTCCCTCAGGGTTTCTGACCTGAGACTGAGACCAGTTTCACCAGGTGCCCCTCAGTTAGCACCCGGTCTGTTATCAAGGGAATGAACAAGTCTAAAGCCAACGGTGTTGAGTCACTTTTCATCCAAACTGCCAATCTAAAGGCACTGAACAAGCCTGTAAAACTCCCCGGCCCTGGCCGACTTAACTTACGGCACTCCAGCATCCAATCCACTCCCACACCTCAGAAGAACCTACTGCTGAATCTCCGGCAGCACCATTGACATACTCAGCACTTCACAACAGATTAAATGGGCCAGAGAGAAAGACAAAGTCCCAGCCTCAGAGTCCTCACCTGGGCCCAGAGCAGAGTCTGCCCCCAGGCAGCAGGTGCGACGCACACACCTTGTCACTGTCAGCCTTAACTCAAGCAATTCTTCCTTTGGAAGTCTCTTCTGGGGTCTGGACAAACGCTGCCTCTCCTTCTCACTGAAGTTTTCCCATGTCTCATGTTACTTCCAGTTCCCAAGTCAACAGTCATAAAAGTATTTTCTGTGCCTACATATGTGTGAGGTTTGTTTTCTTCCTATATCATGATTTTGTAAATTAAAAACCAAACAATTTGGCTTCCTGGAAAATGTTGTCAAGTAGTTTTCACGGCAATAGAAGTCTATCGTTTTCAGGTAATATATGGTACATTAACTCTACATGTGGCATGTTCTTTTGTTGCTTTAACCCCAAAAGATAAAGATTTATAGTCAAATGTTGAATCGCACCCCCTTCCCTACCTTAACAAAACTCTCCTCCACCGCCGTGCTCTCCACATTCTCAATGCTTCACAAACTCTGCTCCTGATTTGGGTACAAGCTGCAAGCTCACGACTTACCATTCCGTAACGCTTTTATGGGCTCTGATGACCGAGGTCTCAATGTCGATTGGGTGGTACCGCATGCCCCGCAGCTCCATGGCTTCGTCCAGTGCCCCTACCACGTAGAGGGCATCATGGCGCTCTGTGGAGTAATGACAGCCTGCGTAAGCTTCCCCATAATGCCGCTCAAGCCGTTTCCTTCTTTTCTTAAAAAAAGATTAAAAACGACCCCCAAGTGAGACAGGGATGCAAAGGAAGGGGCTCACGGATCCAGGGACGTTTGTTTCCTTCTGCCACGGAGCTCCTTGGCAAGTGCTCGGCTCGTGTGCCAGTACCCCACAGGCTGGCTGCAAAGCCGCCATGCGCCCTCTACACTTGTGCTTTGGGAGAAGATCTTTCCTGGCTCAGCTTCGATATCCAGTCAACTGCCTGATTGCATGTTCATCGGGAGCAACTGAGGGGCGAAGTCGGCACCCAGCGGTCTGAGTTCCGTGGACCCATCGGCTGAGGCCTCGTCTGCCCAAGATCACACGGGATACAGTGCAGCCACAGTCAGACCAGCTCTGTGACTCTATCCCACACATGCTTCTCTGTGCTACTAATTCTGTGTATAAGTGGGAAAAGAAAGCATAGCTCTTGCTCTTGTTCATGAACATTTCCTTAGCTCATAGAGCCAGGAAATTTATTTCTATCCTTCTTGCAAACCTCAGAATAATGACAATGACAACAAGTGGTCAGGTCCTATCTTTCCTTAATAAGGAAATATGTCCTAAATTTTTATAAGGTAGTAAGCATATTAGGGAAAATTTGAAAGGCATGATTGACATATAAAATAACATCAGAGTTAAGTATTTTCTCCCATCCAAGTACTAACCAGGCCCGACCCTGCTTAGCTTCCGAGATCAGACGAGATTGGGCGCGTTCAGGGTGGTATGGCCGTAGACAGAGATAAGTATTTTCTAATTTAAATCAGACAAAGAAAGATGGAGACATTGACTCGGCCTCTGCCCCCTACAGCAGCTTTGCCTCTTCTCCTGTGGCAGGGACACGTCCTTCAGGGTATCCCTGCTTCCAGGACTCAGCGGGACGTGGCTTTCCTGGCCTTTCTCTAGGACTATAAATTGCCACCAGCTTTTGCAGCTTCCAGGAACCTCAGGCAGTAGCCTCAAACTAGTCTATAATTTCCCACAATGCAAATGTCATGCCAGGATATTTCTGTATGATTCCTAAACATAGCCTGTTGGGCCAGGCCATTGTAGGTATGTTAGAGAGGTATGTAAGGAAGCCTTACTGATGTCTGCAAACTCATCTCCCTGAGGTTTTGGTGAGTCAAGATCTCACCAGGAACCTCAACTGCCACTGTTGTGAAACAGCCAAGTCCTGCCTCTATTTTTAGCAGAACTAAGGAGGTGAGAAAGGATTCTGGAATAAGCAAAGAATTAACTATACAAGTGCACTTTTACATGTCCATGTCATGAAATACCCCTGGCTTCACCCTGCTCTCCTCTGATGGGGCAAAGGCAATGCTGTCCACCTGGCTGCTCCACACCAGGCACCAGCATCAGCAGCACCAGGCCCTACTCTCTGATGAATGCATGGGCAGAGACAGCTGGCCACCAGGGCCCGAGAGCCTCGCGGCCTCCTCTTCCCTGACAGGGGCAGACCCAGTCCTAGAAGCAGCAGCATGCACGTTCCTGCAGCCACTGGGACAGCTTCTGTCTCAGATGGACCCCGTGGGAGCAGGCAGCCTTCAGGCTTGCTGAGGAGACTCTGTGGTCTGAGACTCTGAGCACTTTGCTGTGGGTGACACTGCAGCCCATGCTCAGCAGCCATGCCCCTCTCCGGTTTTCAGTCAGCTCTTGGTTCTCAGGACAGGACAGGGTATGTGATGCACAGCTCAGCTTGTTGGACACATTTGCATTTTGCTTTCCTCTTGCTCTTAAACTCGGTTCTTTTCACACTGGGTTGTAGCTAGCACACGTGCCCTCCTGGCTTTGGCTGCTGTAAACCTTGGGAAAGGCTTCTGTATCTACAGGAGCCTAACCTCTCTGCCCATCTGTTGGGGGGGGGCCGCCAGCCTGGACTCTCACCTCCATTTGCATCTGTGAGCTCAGTTCTCCGCAGGAACCCCAAGTAGCCTGTGCGTGCCCAGATGGTCTGGGTGTCTCCAAAACTTAGTCTTGAGTTGAAGTGATCTGACTGGAGGGATTCGTCTCCGTAAATAGTGAAATAACCGCTGGCATTGTGGGCACTGTGAACCCAAATCTGCAAACGGAGGGAAATGTCACTGTGGATGACATTATTTTATCTCCAGGGAAATGAGACTACAACTACTTTGACAATTCAGTACATTATATTCAGTGATAGTAAACGTTTCCTTGGACTGAATAACCAAGATGATGTTAATCTCATTCGGGTTTCTCGAGAGACACACAGAGGATACTGAAATAAAGGCAGTCTACCAAGTTTGTGGCCAAGCAACCAGCCAAGGCATCCCTATGGGGAACTGAATTAAAGCAGATTAGTTGAAGATTTAACAAATAGGTTTTAAAAATATACACATCAAATGAACAAAGTCACACTAGATTCCTTACACTTTAACGAATGATTATTTCTAAAGAGCAAGAACAATGCTGAAAAGCTTTGAGATTTCTTTTCTCATTTCACCTGGTTAGCTAATACTTTTGGACATATATTGCAATAAAACAACACACAGAAAAACAAAACCTAAGGGATGAAGGCACATAACACCAAAAACCGGAAACGAAAATGCCTGATGTCTGACATTTGGGGAAATAGGTAAGCAAAGACTGATATGGTGAGTCAAAGCGATAGCCACGTGGGTTACGGAGAACCATGGACAGGGCTGGGTAAAAGCAAAACCAGTGAAGTTCCACAGATGCCCACGCAGCTGTGCCCACACAGCAAGGGTCAGGAGAGGCAGGGCCTTGTAGACTCTGGAGTGTTTGCTGTGGAGACATTCTGGGCTTGGCTGTTTCCATTATTTTACTGACAATGAAAAGTGGTCAAGTTCCAGGAAGTCAGAAACTGGTTTAGTACTGCACCCACGTCCCCAGAGCAGTGCCTCACATATGGCAGGCACTCACTGCCTGCACAACAAATGAAAAAGTGAAACTGAGAGAGACAGTGCACCATCAGATCAGGGAAATGACAGCCGTCCTCTGTTCCCTAACACAAAGAAAATTCTCATTAAGGCAACTGAATATTACTCAGCCATAAAAAAGGAGGAAATGCTGCCATTTGCAACAGCATGGATGTACCTGGAAGACGTTGTGCTGAGTGAGAAGCCAGAACAGAGAAGGACAAATACTGCACCACCTCACTCATGTGGAATCTAAAAAGCTGAGTTCATAGAAGCGGAGGGTAAACGGTGGTTAGCCGGGACTTCAGAGTGGCAAGGGGGAGATGACGGGCAAGGGTGCAAACCCTCAGTTAGAGGGCAAACAGGTTATGGGGAGAAAATGTAGTGCGGTGACTACAGTTAATAATACTATATCACTTAATTGAAATTTGATAACAGAATAGATCCTAAATGTTCTCATCACACACACACACACAATGTGAGCTGATGGATAATAGAACTCGGTCGTGGTAACTGTTTCATAATATGTATATACATCAAAGCATCACAGTGCATTCCTTAATTTATATAACTTTCTCAATTAACCTCATAAAGCGGAAAAAACACACATTCTTAATAAGAAAGTCACCCTGGAAATTTCGCCAGTTCTGGCCACCCTCAGAGGGAAGAGAATTCTGACCCTGGCCCAGCCTACGTCTCGGGCAGCACCCGTGAGGACACCCTCCAGGTGCCGGAGAAGCAGGCTCTGCTTCCAGCTTTGTTTCTAGGAACACATTTAAAGGAAACTCCTAAGTGAGAGCTGCACAGAATTTTATCTCCGCAGTTCTGATCTTTCATGTATGTGACTGAGAGAGGTCAAGTGAGGGGCCAAAAAAAAAAAAAAAAAACACAAGGCCCAAGAAGCAAAGCAAGCTGGGACGTGAGAACTGGGGAGGGCTTGCTCATTGGTCAGGTGTTCACCCACGTGCGTGTAGAAACGTGCTCTTGCATGTGCTGGGGATGCGTCCAGGGCTGAGGAGGAGGAGGGCTGGTGCTGTTTATAAGATGCCAGTTCTTAGCACGCCTCCCACATGTGCTGCTGGGAGCCATTCAGGAAGGGGGGCGCCTCATGGGACAGGACAGGTGATAAGGGGAGTGAGGGTGTCCTTGGCCAGACATGGGGCTTTGTCCAACGGCACGGCAGGCCGGGGTAACCGGAGGGAGGGCACACGTGCTGCCACCGTGGGAGGAGGCTGGCTCCAGACATGCTCTTCTCCAGTGCCCTCTGCTTCCTCATAGAAGCAGGAAGCTCAGTGCCAGAGAGAATGCGGCGGAAGGAGGACGCATGAGACAAGTGGCCTCTCGGACTGGGGACGCCCAGCAGTGCCAGGGCCTGCTTGAGATGAGGTGTCAAGAGAGGAGACCAAGGCCACACAGCTCCACGAGGCGTCTTTCTCTAGCTGCATCCCGCCAGTGCGGAGGGGCACAGTGGCAGGGAGTTAAGAGCCAGCCAGGGCGGGCTCATTCTGAACACAATGAGGCAAAGGTGTCAAGTTCCACTGTTTGCTTTCTGATCTGAAATAAACACATGATCTCTTGGCTACTGTGTCCTGATGCTGTTGTTTGTACACTACTTCCTGTGGAGGTCTCTGCCACTTTCCTGGTGAAGGACTTCTCAGTAATAAAAGCAGGAACGTGGAAAGCAAACTCAAGAGCCAAGAAATAAAGAAACTCAGTCCATACACATTATGTGTTTAAATCTTTTCAGAATTATTTGAGGACAATCTATTATACTTCCCTAAGGAAGTGCCATTTTGTAATTGTGAGCTTTCATGGACTCATTTGAGCCATAAAGCTTACCTCACGCTATTTCCCAGGCAATCATAACTCACTCAGCTCAAACCGGTGTGTGGCAGATGGAGGGCATGTGAGCAGTTCTGATGGTGTCAAGGCAAGCCAAGGATACATAACAGAAAAGTAACCTGGATCTCGGAGGACACTCAACTCACCTCTCCAAGGTGTGAGTCCCCCAGCGGTCCTTTTGTTTCTGGGTTGGCAATTATAATCCGAACCCCTGGAAGTATCTATTTGGGAGAGGAAAAGTCTCTTGTCAATGGGAGGAATACAGGGAGAGACTACACACAAGCCAACCTCAATCTCATCTTTATGCCATTTCCTTTCAAGACTGTTTAGAAAGCAATTAAATCAAAACTATATGCCACATAGTTATGACCCATTATACAACCACAGCCTCACAATCACAGCCTCACAATCACATTCTCACTGTAACTGTCAATATTGTATGCTGTTATGGTGACCTCAAAATTAAACATTTTGATTGTCAGTCATACCTCAATAAAGCTAAGAGAAATCTATTGAAAATCATGAAAATAATGTTTGAACAAAAACATGGTAAATGATATAATGTTTAACACAGCCTGACCTTGAAAAATGGGAATTTTCAGTTGTTTCAATGAAGTTATTTAAGATATTTACATAGAGTCAATATTACATCTCACATCATGGCACACACATGGATGGAGGGTGATGCTTGCAGTAATCGCTGAAGGAAGGGAGTCACATAGTGACGTTTTCAGGGGTAAGCATGGACTCGAAGATAACCCAAAATGCTTTTGGCAAAATGATATAGTAGGCAGCTGCTCTGGTGGTGCCAGAAGGGAAAGATTGTGGGTCAACTGCTGGTGAAGTCTGCAGGTTTTCGTTAGAACGTCCGTGTGGATCTCCAGCTCATCTCCACCGAATTTTCAACTCAAGATACTGGGGAACTTTTTCCTGCAGGTAAACATCTTTTACTGTAATAGATGTCAGTACTAAGCATTTCCTTCTTTTTTTTTTTGAGACAGGGTCTAGTTCTGTCACCCAGGCTGGAGTGGCATGATCACAGCTTACTGTAGCCTTAAGCAACCCTCCAGCCTCAGCCCCACAAAGTGCTGGGATTACAGGCATGAGACACTGGCTCTGGCCAGAATTTCCTTCTTAAAGTTTACCTTAGAAATATCTCACATTCCACTGATACCACTTATATAAGGAATCAAAGGTTTATTCTGGAAATCCTGAATATAGCCTGCCTCAGATCAGCTCATCTAACATTTATGATTGAGATAAAGGCAAAACATTTTATGGTAAAAACACAGAACGTCTTGGAATAGTCACACTGTTAAATCTCACTTAAGTCTGAAGTGAGATTTCAGGGCTCTGGATTCTGCTGCTGACTATGGTCCGCCAGACTGTTAGGATGGATGGTGAGCACATTCCTACTGTTGGAACCAACTCTGTGAAGCATTCTAACTTGCAGCCATGCAGGCAACTTTATAATAGAAGCAACATGAGATGCTCTTAGAATTATGTCAATGGAGAAGGAATCTGACAACTGGGGCCGAAACGGAAAAAAAAAAAAAAAAAAGAGTCTTTATTTAGGTGTTTAAATATCTTTCTTGCCCTTTAGTTCTAGTAAAAAAACAAAAAAACAAAAACAGAAACAAAAAACACACCCACTGTGGCAGAAACTACTGGTTGTCTCTTGTTAACCATTCTTTTCTACTTTCATAGTAATAGATACCCTGATTTTTAGGTAGGCCTTTACATATTCAGAATTGATATCTCAATAGTTCCCAACCTTTAGCTAGGTGTGGCCATGTGACCACATTCTGATCAATGGAATTTCAGTGTAGGACAGCTTGGGAACCTTCTCTATGGTCTGCATGCTTTGTTCTCTTCTTTTTCTGTTTCTCCTCCTGCTGGCTGGAATGTGGAAATGATGGCTGGAGCGGAAGCAGCCGCTTCAGCTCCTGAGGGGCCCCTGGTAATTGGGCTCCAATGCGCAGAACGAGGCTGAAGGCACCAGGGCCTCTGCTGGCTTCATGGAGGAGGAGATGCCTATTTCCTAACTTTTACCTGAGGAAAAAAGTCTAACTTGTTTAAAACACTGTTATTTTGAGTTTCTATACTCACTGATATGTTACTTTCAAGAAATTGTTTTGGAAAAAACATTCTAAAAAATACATTTCCTAAAATTTCAAAGCCCATACAGTCAGAAGCGAACGGATACAGAAATGCGTGCCTCTTCCTATAATACTTACCTTTCCCGATTCCATCAGGGGCAGACTATGAGGGGATCCTCTTTCCACTAAGCGGACTCTGCAAACAGAAAGAGAAAATATTCCTAGATGTGTTTGCTGTCCAGTTTTCCCCTTCACCAATTCACACGAGGTCACGAGCCTGGCAGCTGTCCGGGAAAGCTGATTCTGAGCATCATCCAACAGCAAGGACGAAGCTGCAGAAAGAGCAGCCCAGCAGCAGAGGAAACTGAACCCGAAGCGAGGGCCACAGAGAAGGCAGATGAAGCCGCATCTCTCAAACCTGCAAAGTAACTGGGAAAATGACTCTGAGCTGAAAGTAACCATGAGTCCACTTAGCATTTTCAGAAAAGGAAAAGAACACGGATTACAGAGTTTCCTTGAAAGAGCTGCGGGTCACCCACGACTGTGTTGCCTGGTCCTCAAGCACCGACGGCTGTCCTGCGGGTGGAAGGCAGGGCCAGGTGTGCAGCGGCCGAGAGCCCTCCCAAGACAGCGCGTGCATCGCAGCCACAGGAGCAGAGAGAATTGCTGGGCCCTGACGGCAAAGGTACTCAGAAAAGAAACTCTTACTTCAAAGAATACATAATGATAATTTAATCTTAAGAACTGCCAAGGACATCGCAGCAGGCCACAACCAGAGCTTCGCTAACAGTCCTCCCAGGTGCATTATTTATTTTGAGGCCTTCACTACTGGTTTTGCATTTTTACCAGGTGCCTAGTGGACCATCACACTCTTCATTCACCTAAGGGGCAATTTTTTTTATTTAAACAAAATAAAGCAAAGGAGAAAGTGCTTGAAGGCTTGAAGATGGTGAATCACAGGACGACATGCCTCCCACCTGGGGACAGGGTGCGGGCAGGGGGCCTGTGGGCTCCTGAGACACCCTTCCTACCATCCCCCAGTGATGTTTTTTTTTTTTTAAAGAGACAGGGTCTCGCTCTGTCACTCAACCTGGAGTACAGTGGCACAATCATGGCTCATCGCAGTCTGACCGCCTGGCCTCAAGCAATCCTCCCACCTCAGCCTCCTGAGTTGCTAGGGCTACAGGTGTGTACTACCACATCTGGATAACTTTTAAGTTTCTGTAGAGAGGAGATCTCACTATGTTGCTTAGGCTGGTCTCAAGCTCCTGGTCTCAGATGATCCTCCTGTCTCAGCCTCAGAAACTGCCAAGATTACAGGTGTAGCCACCATGCCCAGCCCTCACTGAGATTTGAAACACACCAAGAACCCACTCTTATGCACTCGACACAGCAGTCTTCCTCTGTAACTGACAGATGTACCAAGAAGGAGGATGAGGGGTAGGGAAGGGGCAGGAGGTACCAAGAAAGAAGCCTGAGTGTCTCCGGGCCCTGAGGGACCAGTCCAGCACAGCCCTCTGCGTGGCACGAGGGAGGCCACGGAGGGTGCGCACCCCTCTGGGAATGGGGGTGTTTCTGCTGCCACAGTGGGAGGCACCCAGCAGTGTGGTAGGTGGCACCGGCCTGACGTCCTCCACGTGCCAGACATGTGGCTGCACTGCTCCTGCCAGACCTAGGGCTGTCTGCAGCCAGGGGCACCATCTCCTCTGGCTGTTGAGTGACTGAGGCCACAGGACAATTCCTCCCCCCAGCCTGCTGTGTCTTCTCCGGTTGCTGCAGACAGAAGCACCCGTGCCGGGGAGGATCCTCTGTGGCGGAAACAGGGAAGGCCAGCAGCACTTTCTCCTCTGCGGGAGAACAGAGAGGAGACGCTGGGGAGGGTGCCTGTGTGCATCAGCAGGAGTCTGATGAGGGAGAAAGACTTACTGGAGCCATTTCAGATCAGATGACAACCATTAACTCTGTGGTGTCTGTCTTAAATGGAAACCTTGATGCCAACAGCTGATGAGGGCTGCCAAACAGCTCACATGATTCAAACTCTTACGGAACACGCCGATAGGCTTGATGACGCTAACCTCCAAAAATGCCTTAACTGGCTGTTTTAACACAGAATTGCAAGAAACTAAAGAACTTTTAGGAGCCTGGTAGCATTATGCTAATTCAGGACTTGCCATGAGAATACCTAGAATTTGCGGTGCAACACAAATGTGCTCTCCTCTGGACACTGACCACGGAGAAGCTCACAGCCAGAGGTGGCATGCACATACTTGGGATGTCGGCAGGACATGGCCATGCCAGGACAATGATGCTGACTCCTTCCTCCGTGCCAGGAGGCCCGCAGATGTGCCCTGATCTGAGCGGCCAAGTGGAGTCAAAAGCCAGCGAACCGTGGGCTTCACCCCAAATGAAGACAGCAGTAGAGAAGCCAGGCCAAGCTGGCCGGGGCAGCGGTGAGAAAGGGGCACCTGGAGATGATGAGGAGAGGGAAAGAACTAGGAGGGGGTCAGAGGCCCCCACCTCAGCATCCTACAAAGGCCAGGTGACCAGCCAAGGAGTGAAACTCAGCCAAAACCGAGGGCTGTTTAGGACACACCATCTCCATTTCTGCGGCCAATCCTCAGTCATCTCTACTTTAGGACGTTTGAGATCCTGTCGCTGGCCGGAATCAGATGCACCTGGCAGCTCTGGGAGCTGTCGCTACAGGGATGACTTCAGACAGGGTAAGGGGGTCACTCAGGAAACAAGGCTCTGGAGTTATAAAAGTGATGGGCAAATGCCCCAGGGCTCTGCCAGGCAGGGCCCAGGCTGTGCAGCATTCCCAGATCTTCCTTATCTCCATCCCTGTGTGTTTTTACCTTGGCCTGTGCCCAGCCACTAAGGGGGCATGGAGGAAAACAAGACAGGTGAGGCTCTGGGCAGGTGTGTGCTGGCCAGTGCCTCACCCTCCGGCCGTATGTCCTTCACTCTCTCCAGCCTCTGCCCCCATATTGATCCTAAGCCTCAGGAAGCGAAGCAAGACGGAATCTCAGCTGAGAACCTTGTCTGAAGTGTTGAAAACACGGAAGATCATCAAGAATTCCCTCTCTGGTTCATGTGAAAAAGGTGTGTTTTGTATGAAAACAGGCACAGGGTGCTAAATCACTCAGGTCGGTGCTGGATGAAAAAGCTAAATATCCTGCTAGCAAATGCCACACAGGAATTCCTTCTTCTACACCAAGGGGAACAATATCCACACAGCCAAGAGAGGAAAAAAGCTACCCCGTATCTAAGGGCAGAAGAGATGTCTTCCTAAAGAACTAGGAGATATATTTGTAACATACACATCAGAGGGCTGATTCCCTCCATGTGCAAAGAACTCATAGAAATGAAACCAGGTGATCTTGGTTGTTCTCAAAAGTAGTGTTCTCCACAGTTACAGAGTGGGCTGAGTTAAGACCCGGGTCAAAGTGTGCTGCTCGGTGCTGACTTTCTCAAACTGGGGATCATATGCAGACATCTCCAGGTTTGGGCAAATTAAATGAGCTATGAATCTGAAGTGCTTGTGGTGCGTGAGTTATAAGTAGCTGGGGTTATTAACACTTCTCAGTTAGAACCAGGTTGTAAGGTTAACACCAAGGCGTTGCCTGGCACACGAGAGGTGGGCTGCTGGAGGGAGATGCAGAGGTCTGTGGACTCCGGGAGCCAGAGGGGAGCAGGAGGACTCCATGGGGGAGGGAGAAATACAGGCTCAGCCAGGCTGGCCCTCTCCTGCGGGAAGTGTGACTGAGCCACCAAAAGGACCAAGTCATGCTGTAAGAAGACTCTCATCTTCCAAGAGCCATTGTGCCGAGGCTGGCGTCCAGCAGAGCTCACCTTCTGTGAGAGCACCTGCCGCTCAGGTCACACTGCAAAGTCAGCTTTAGACAACTCAGGGCTGAGGAAACCTGTCAGCTCCAGATCCGGAACTTTGTGCCACTTTTCTTGCTGCCTCCAACGTGCATTACTGCTGCCCAAATCGGCTCCACGAACCATTACTGCTGACACCCTTCCCTAGGTGAAAGTTGGTTTTAAACAGTGCACCTACTTTCACATCAAGGTTACAATTTAACTGTGTGTCTGAATAAACTCTTCCAGCCTGGCCTCTGTCTCACCCCTTATTTCTTCTCCAGTCCAGTATAAATCTTGGACTTGCGGGGAATAAACTGTCTTTTCATCCTACGCTGTCAAGTGGACTTGAAGTTCGGACTTTTGCTAGAAAAGCAGAGATAGAGAGTTGACATGAGGGAACTTGCTACTAGCCTCTAACTTGCCCTGTCCTTGAACTGCCCTCAAATGGACTCAAACTTAGCAACCTGTTTTGCTAGAAGCGACGTCTCGGAAGGCTGAAGCCCTGATGGCGCCGTGCAACCGAGTGGGGAACGAATGCATGGCTGTCACAAGAGGTCTGTGAGGTCTTCATTCTTCATTCGTGCCTCCTGGCATCACACGTCTGGCCTCCTGGGAACAGGTGGGAAGGTGCTGCTGAGATAATCAGGTTTTTCATCATTTGTCTAAAGAGAGCCATGGTTGAACTTCTCACTAATCCTTCCCTGCAAAGCTACAGAAGAGACTCTTTCTTCCTCCAACTGAGATTCTCACCCAGGGGCAAGGAGCCTTGTCTGAGCCATGCAAAGGCGGATGAGCACAGCTGCCCTCTGCCTAGGACCACCACCCCCTGGCAGCACCCGCTAGCTGGCAGAGAATCCATCAGCACCCCAGCTCTGGAGACGTCAAAACAACCAAGAAACAAATAGCATTCTCTACCCCAACAGAAGTGCGCCGGCATACGGCAGCACTGCCCCCGCCAGAAAGACAACTGCTTCGGACCAGTGCAGCTGGAGCCCCTGACCAATGCCCTGGGGTGGGGCATCTGATGCAGATGTCAGCAGAGCATCCACTGGGAGCCCACCCTGCCTGCCCACACCACTACTCAGCACTGGCCTGATGGTCACTCATGACCTGAAGGGTCCAGCATCCTCAGCACCTTCAATCTCAAAAACCAGCGTGACAGACCAGATGCAGACGGAGCTGGTGCTGTCCTCAGTGCCAACTCTGTGGCATTTCAAGGGGAGCAAACAGGACGCAGGGAAACCCGGTCATGGAAAGCTGAGCTGCAGCACAGCCACGCTCACCGTGTGAGGATGGCATTTATGAATGTGCCGCTGAAAAAACAACCAAAACTTTTACTTAATATTTTAAACTACACCTTCTTCCAAAATTAATTTGAAGCATTTAAAATACCCAATATAATAAGACCATCTGAACAATAAGCTTTTAAAAATCCCCAAAGATAGAGGGGAAATTAAATACTCAAAAACTTCAAGTTAATTAACAGAGATGCTGTGACTGAGTCTAGTCTGCAGCTTCCTGGCAGCTAAGGTACACAGAGGATGAGGCAAGTGTTACTGTCAAAGTTGGGATTTTAATATCTTGCCACTTACTTTGCAACCAGTGAAGCACATAAGAGCATTAAAATCACAAGGAACAACAGTGCTTAAAAATAACAGGCATCATGTTCACACATCCAAAACCACAAACAAAACCAAAAACAAATGCACTATTATTTCTACAGGAGGTCCTCCCAGGACTCAAGCCCTAACAAAAGCTACAGACACTGCATGAGACGGCCCACGGTGGCCACCACAAAAGGCTAAGGGGAAGAAGATCTGGATCAGGGAAGTCCAGAAACAGATACCAATCACCCAAAAAATGAGCAACGAGAGAAAACAGAGGAATGTTTTCATCTAACCTAACCGCATTGCACAAATGAAGTACCAAAGCATACTTTGTGTACTTTTTTCATTTATAAAATTGTAAACTTAACCCTCTCCAATCCAAACTCTTCTGTCCATCCTTTTCCCTTTTCTCTCCCTCGGGTGGAAGAGAGCTCTGTGTTTTCTTCCCATAAAAGACACCATTTGCAGGTGTGGACTGAGCCGACCTTGCAGCCCAAACTGCCCTCTTCCATCTTCTTCCAAGGCCAGATGGGTTCCAAGTTTCAGAGGTGCTCGATTTCTGAACGCTAATCCCGAGCACAGACCCCTGCTACCTAAGACCCTAATCACATGCATCAATACTCTGGGTGCATCAATATGCTGGGTGCATGTAACATTAGCACTTGGGGAGGCTGAGGCAGGAGGATCACTTGAGCCCAGGAGTTTGAGACCAGCCTAGGCAATGTGGCGAGACCCCATCTCTACAAAAAATGCAAAAATGAGCAAGGTGTGGTGGTGTGTACCCGCAGTCCCAACTACGTGGGAGTATCAACTGAGTTTGTGAGGCAGAGGTCACAGTGAGCTGGGATCATGCCACTGCACTCCAGCCTGGGTGACAGAGTGATACCCCATCTAAAAAAAGAAAAAAAAAAAAGAGAAGAAAAAAATGCATTAACGTTTCTGTGGCAAAGAGTGGGATAAATTGTTTATCAATTTATGTCCATTCATAAAGTTTCCATGACATTCACTTGCATCGAATTAAAAAAAAAATTTATTTTTGGGAACTCCTTCGTTTTTAAAAAAATACTTACTGAATAAGACCTCAAAAGCACAGGCCACAAAAGCAAAAATAAGCAAATAGGATTATAAATAACTTAAAAGCTTCTGCACAGCAAAGGAAACAAAGTGAAAAAACAACCTACAGAATAAAAGAATACATTTGCAAACTACTCACCAGACAGGGGATTAATATTCAGGATATATAAGGAACTCAAACAACTCAACAGCAAAGAAAAACCCAAAAAACAAAAAGAAAACTGATTAAAAAATGGGCAAATGATCCAGACATTTCTCAAAAGAAATAAATGTCCAGAAAATACATGAAAAATGCTCAACATCACAAATCATCAGAGAAGTGGAAGTCTTTTTTTTTTCTTAAGTGAAAGCAAGTCTATTAGGAAAATAAAGAAATAAAAGAATGGCTACTCCACAGGCAGAGCAGCAGCAAGGACGGCTCAGCTGCTTATACTTATTGTTACTAGGGAGGCAAAAGTCAAAACTACAATGAGATATCATCTCATTCCAGTTAGATGGCTATTATTGGCCGGGCGCGGTGGCTTACGCCTGTAATCCCAGCACTTTGGGAGGCCGAGGTGGGTGGATCACGAGGTCAGGAGATTGACACCATCTTGGCTAACACAGTGAAACCCCGTCTCTATTAAAAATACCAAAAATTAGCCGGGTGCGGTGGCGGGCGCCTGTAATCCCAGCTACTCAGGAGGCTGAGGCAGGAGAATGGCATGAACCCGGGAGGCGGAGCTTGCAGTGAGCCGAGATAGCGCCACTGCAGTCCCACCTGGGCGAAAGAACGAGACTCCATCTCAAAAAAAAAAAAAAAAAAAAAAAAAAAAAAAAAAAAAAAAAAAAAAAAAAAAAAAAAAAGAAGGCTATTATCAAAAAGACAAAAAATATCAAATGCTGGTGAGGATACAGAGAGAAGGGAACTCTTATACACTGTTGGTAGGAATGTAAACTAATACAGCCACTATGGAGAGCAGTATGAAGGCTCCTTAAAACACACATACCCTTGGGAGGCCGAGGTGGGCTGATCACAAGGTCAGGAGTTCGAGACCAGCCTGGCCTATATGGTGAAACCCCATCTCTACTAAAAAAATACAAAAATTAGCTAGACGTGATGATAAGCATTTTTTCATGTGTTTTTTGGCTGCATAAATGTCTTCTTTTGAGAAGTGTCTGTTCATATCCTTCGCCCACTTTTTGATGGGGTTGTTTGACTCTTTCTTGTAAATTTGTTTAAGTTCTTTGTAGATTCTGGATATTAGCCCTTTGTCAAATGGGTTGATTGCAAAAATTTTCTCCCATTCTGTAGGTTGCCTGTTTGCTCTGATGGTAGTTTCTTTTGCTGTGCAGAAGCTCTTTAGTTTAATTAGATCCCATTTGCCAATTCTGGCTTTTGTTGCCATTGCTTTTGGTGTTTTAGACATGAAGTCCTTGCCCATGCCTATGTCCTGAATGATATTGCCTAGGTTTCCTTCTAGGGTTTTTATGGTTTTAGGTCTAACATTAAGTCTTTAATCCATCTTGAATTAATTTTTGTATAAGCTGTAATCAGAGAAATGCAAATCAAAACCACAATGAGATACCATCTCACACCAGTTAGAATGGCAATCATTAAAAAGTCAGGAAACAACAGGTGCTGGAGAGGGTATGGAGAAACAGGGACACTTTTACACTGTTGGTGGGACTGTAAACTAGTTCAACCATTGTGAAAGACATTGTGGCAATTCCTCAAGGATCTAGAACTAGAAATACCATTTGACACAGCCATCCCATTACTGGGTATATACCCAAAGGATTATAAATCATGCTGCTATAAAGACACATCCACACGTATGTTCATTGCGGCACTATTCACAATAGCAAAGACTTGGAACCAACCCAAATGCCCATCAATGATAGACTGGATTAAGAAAATGTGGCACATATACACCATGGAACACTATGCAGCCATAAAAAAGGATGAGTTCATGTTCTTTGTAGGAACATGGAGGAAGGTAGAAACCATCATTCTCAGCAAACTATCACAAGGACAGAAAACCAAACACAACATGCTCTCACTCATAGGTGGGAATTGAACAATGAGAACACTTGGACACAGGAAGGGGAACATCACACACTGAGGCCTGTTGTGGGGTGGGGGGAGGGGGGAGGGATAGCATTAGGAGATATACCTAATGTAAATGACGAGTTAATGGGTGCAGCATACCAACGTGGCACATGTATACATATGTAACAAACCTGCACGTTGTGCACATGTACCCTAGAACTTAAAGTATAATAATAAAAAAAAAATTAACTGGGCGTAGTGGCCTGTAGTCCCAGCTACTCAGGAGGCTGAGGCAGGAGAATCACTTGAACCGGGGAGGCAGAGGTTGCAGTGAGCCGAGATCATGCCACTGCACTCCAGCCTGGGTAACAGAGTGAGACTGTCTCAAAAACAAAACAAAACAAAACAAAACCAACCCCCCCCCACCCCACCACATACACACACACACACACACACACACACACACACACCAAACTACGAACAGAACTACCATACGATCCAACAATCCCACTACTGGGCGCCTATCCAAAGGAAATGAAATCATCAGTGTACTGGAGAGACATTTGCACTCCTCTGTTTACTGCAGCCTGATTCACAATACCCAAGATATGAATCCACCCAGGAGTCCAACAGCAGATGAATGGATATGGAAGGTGTGGTATATAACATTGAATAGGATTCAGCCATAACAGAGAATGAAATCCTGTCATCTGCAGCAAGATGGACGGAAGCGCAGGACACTAAATAAAGTGAAATAAGCCAGGAATAGAAAGTTAAATACTACACGTTCTCACTCATATGTGGAAGCTAAAGAAAGATGATTTCATAGAAATACAAAGTAGAACAGTGCATACTGGAGGCTGGGAAGGGAGGGATGGGGAGAGATTTGTTAAAGGAAACAAAATCACAGCTGGCTGGGAAGAATACGTTCCAGTGTTCTGTACCACCGCAGGATGACTATAACTAACAGTAATTTATCATTCAAATAGCTAGGAGGAAGATACCAAACATTCCCAAAGAAATGATGCACGCTCCCGATCTAATATCCCGATCTGCTAACTACATGTTATATGTATTGAAACATATACCCTATGAGTTGCACAATTATGTGTTAATTTTATAAAAAGTTAAAAATACACTTTTTAGGAGTTTCAGATTTAAGAAAAATTGAGCAGGATGGTAGAGCTCCCACACTGCCCTACAATATGCCCCAGTCTCAGAATGCGCACATATCCAACATTAGTTAGAATTAGTAAGCCAACAGTGAGACGATTTAAATCTATCCTTTACTCAGCCTTCCTCATTTCCCCCTAATATCCCCTTCCTGTCCCAGGATCCTACCCAGGATTCCACATGACAATTGGCCGTCACGTCTCCCTGAGTTCCTATGGACTGTGACAGTCTCTCAGAAATGTCCCTGTTTTGCTGACCTTGACGGTTTTGAGGGGACTGGTGAGGTGTTTTGTAGGCTGCCCTTTGGTTGGGACTTGTCTAACATTGTTCATGGGTAGACACGGATCACAGGCATTTTGGAAAAGGGCTTTAGAGATGAGCGCCCTTCCCATGGCGTCATATCAAAGCCCCCCTGCTCATCACTGATGGTGACCTCGCACTTAGCTGGGTCACGTTTGCAGGTTTTCCCCGTCCCTTCCACATGCCCTCTCTGGAGGCATCGCTCTGCTCAGCCCATGCCAGAGAGGAGAGGGTGTGTGCTCTCTTCTTGGCTTTTGAGATGCGACACTGCTGGCCTCATGGAGGGCACAGCCTCCTGCCTCTGGGTGACCAAGCCCATGCCTCAGGCCCATTAGCTTGTGATGGGCAGCCGTCTGACAGAGGAGGTCTAATGACCGTGGGGCTGCAGCATTCTCCCAGGTGGAATGAGCACAGAGAGCTGATCCATCTGCACAGAAGTGTGCACAGGGCAGAGAAGCAAGGTGACAAGGGGACTCCTGAGGATCTTCTGGGCTTTGCTTCCAGACCCTCCCTGTCACTGGGCTGCACCTCCACCCAACCCTCCAGTTCCTCAGGCACCTCTCTCCTACTTCAATCTTCGCTTGCTGAAATGGTCCAACTTGGTTTCCGTCACTTTCCACCATGAAGTGTGACTAATGTGGATCAACTTTCCCTTTTTGAGTAAGACTAGAAAGACTTGAAAAATAATTATAGATTTGATATGTTTATGAGCATGTGTAAAAATTTTTTCAAATTAATTTCAAAATGATAGTAAGCTTGCAAGAATGAAAACAGTATAAAGAACACTTCTAACACCCAGGTTCACTGCTTGTTAATATTATGTTCCATCTGCTTTATACTTTGCACTGCCCACCCCATCTTACACAATGTGCACACACAGTTTTTTCTGAACCATTTGAGGATAAGTTAAATACATCAAGGTAAGTGTGGATTTCCTGAGAATAGGAATACTATCTTACAGAACAGTTATCAGTTTCAGTAATTTTAATATTGATCCAATATTTAATCTATAGCCTCTCTTCCAATTCTTCCCATTACTCCAGTAATGTCCCTACAGCTCCGCCTTGAGTGCAGGGCTCACCCTAGCATCAGGCTTAATATTTTGTTGTCATTTCTTTGGCTTGCCTTAATTGGGAAGATTTCCAAAGTCTTTTTTATCTTCATGACGTTGACATTTTTGAAGAATAGTGTCCCTGCCTTTAAAAAATATTTAAAATTATTTAATTCAAAGTGGATCAATGACATAAATGTAAGAGATAAAACTGTAGACTGTTAAAGGAACAGTCATGTGTTGGATATGTCATTTATTTCTTGGCTACCACACCAAAAGTATATGCAGAAAACAAAGAGGATAAACTGGACATCAAAATTAAAAGCTTCTGTTCATCAAAGGACACAATGAACAGAATCAGCGGAGTGAAAACGCAACCCAGGAAATGAAAGCAAGATTTGCAAATCACATATCTGTTAAGGGGCTAATATCCAGAATGTGTAAGGGACTCTTACAATTCAATAGCCAAAAAAAACTAAATGCAAACCAAACAAAGAAACCACTCCAGCTAAAAAGTGTGGAAAAACTTGAATAGTCATTTCTCTAAAGAAGGTATACAAATAGCCAGTGAGCAAGAGAAGATGTTCGACAAGACCATCACTAGGAAAACGCACACCAAAGCCACAACGAGATACCATCTCACACCCATTAGGATAACTACTCTCAAAAAAATAGAAAACACCTACTGTTGGTGAGCACACGGAGAAACCAGACCCACGTGCACTGCTGGCGGGAAGGTAAAACAATGCAGCGGCTGTGGAAAACAGTATGGCAGTTCCTCCAGAAATATAAATAGAACTAATGTATGGTTCAGCAATTCCACTTCTGAGTATATACCCAGAAGAACTGAAACCAGGTCTTGAACAGTATCTATAAACCCATGTTCACAGCAGCCCAAAGGTGGAAGCAACCCAAGTGAACATCGGCAGACAATGGATGAGCCAAGTGTGGTATATACGTACAAGGAAATATTATTCAATCTTAAAAAGGAAGATTTTGACACAATGCTACAACATCGATCAACCTTGAGGACATTATGCTAGGTAACATCAGCCAGTCACGAAAAGACAAATACCACAGGACTCAACTTACATGAGGTACCTACCTAGAGTAGTCAAATTCATAGACAAAGTAGAATGGTGGGTACCAGGGGCCGAGAAAAGAGGGATGGAGAGTAGAGATTTAATGAGGACAATATTAAGTGCGTGGAGAAACCAGAACCAGGAGCAGCCCTGCGTGTGTGGAGAAACCGGAAACCAGGCACGGCCCTGAGCGTGTGGAGAAGCCGGAACCCAGGCGCGGCCCTGAGCGTGTGGAGAAGCCGGAACCCAGGCGCGGCCCTGAGCGTGTGGAGAAGCCGGAACCCAGGCGCGGCCCTGAGCGTGTGGAGAAGCCGGAACCCAGGCGCGGCCCTGAGCGTGTGGAGAAGCCGGAACCCAGGGGCGGCCCTGAGCGTGTGGAGAAGCCGGAACCCAGGGGCGGCCCTGAGCGTGTGGAGAAACCGGATCCAGGGGCGGCCCTGAGCGTGTGGAGAAACCGGAACTCGCTCTAAGCAGCCGGGCAACTCCTTCTCCACAGAAAGGACTTGAAAAGTATCTTTTTATTAAATCATAAAAGACATCTTTTATTAAACAGAAAAATAAGCTTTTCTGTTTATTTCAACAAAAGAACTATCAGTGTGTAGTCCCTAAAGCCAAAGAGAAGAGCAAGTTTCCAGCAGGAGGGTAGGCTCAGCAGCATCCACTGGCACTGAGCGTGGAACATTAGGGTGGGGTCGTAGGTGGCCTTGCCGGGTGCCACCAGGGAACCGTGGAGACATGGGGCTTTGTCTCTCATGAGCCAGCAGGAGATGAACCCAGACCCTCTGAGGTGTTCAGCTGTCAGGAGAGAGGGCCGTGGGGTGGCCGCGGGTGAAAAGGGTCAAAGGAGGGTTTTTGTTTTTAGACAGCATTTATCACGTCATGTTTACATGCAGAGAAACGACTTCAGAGACAAGGAAACGCTGGTGATGTCAGAGGGAGGGGATGCTGGTCAGCCCAAGGGCCTTAAGCAGACGGTAGATGGTTGGGGTCTGGGGAAGGTGGAGGGGGTCAGGAGAAAAGGCAGCTGCAGCGGGTCACAGTGGGTGGGAACTGCTCATTCGCTGCTTGTCTCATTTAGGAGATAAACTGAGGCCCTAAAAGGTTTAACGTTACACTGACACGGCAAAGTGAAAGAAGAAATTAGAGAATGGGATGTAAAGACTAAAAATATTAATGAGTTTAAACATGGACACAGTCTCTCTGGGATATGGATGGTAATTCTAAAAAAGGAGAGACAAAAATATGGCAACAAGCCTGCCTCTTCCATCTCCTGAAAACACACCTTGGAGGGGCAGGACCCGGGAGCCCGCCTCTGGTAACCGCGTCCTCGCCCGCTTGCAGGGTGGCCACAGTGCTCCATGACTGCTCTCCTTTCACACACACACCTGGCCAGGGGATGTCTGGAGAGTCGGGAGGCAAGAGAAGTGGGAGCAGTGCAAACCAGACACCAGGAGGACGGCAAAGCCTCGCAGGAGATTGTGTCCAAATACCACAAGTGACATGGTGTGAAAGTGAATTCTTTTATTTTTCATTCGGTTTTCCCACTGGTTTTCAAGTAGACTGCAAGTTTTCAAGTAGACTGCAAGTTCTATTTAAGGAATTGTGAAAGCCCTACTGTCCCTTACCCGATGATCATCTCAAGTTGGGTTCATGCCTGAAGACAGCCAGAGCAGAAATAAAGGAAAAACTATAAACTAATAAGAAAAAAGGCATTTGCATGACTACATACACATAATTGTATATCCATGTAAAGGTATAACTGTATCAGATAATTGTACTGAGACTTACAGCTGGCCAGCATTGTCCCAAGCACCTGACGCATACCAAGAATCCTCCTAATGACTCTAGGAGTGGCACTGCTTTTGCCATTTCACAGGCAGAGAAAGTAAAATACAAGAAGGCAACGTGTGCAGGATCACATGGCCAGAAAGTGATAGATCTGAGGCCAGACAATGGGTCCTGAGCTTAATCCAAGCACCTGTTAAATTCATTGCAGCCAAACCACCCTGAGGCTCAGCTCTGGTACCCAAGGGACGGGGGAGTGAGGGTGAGGCTCCTGGGTACACTGCTGGGACAGTCACCTGAGGATCATATGAAACACTGAGAAGCTGGAGGTAAAAAGTACAGTCATGTACTTAACGACAAGGCAACATCCTGAGAAATGAGCTGTCAGTCCATTGTGTCATCACGCAAACACCACAGAGTGGACCTACACACACTGGGATGGGGTAGCCTCCTACGCTCCTATGCTGTATGGTACGGCCAAGTGCTCCCGGGCTGCACACCTGGACAACATGTGACTACATACAATTGTAATACAACAATATTTGTGTATCTAAACATAGAAAAGGCACAGTAAAACATGCTGTGAAAAGATAAAAAATGGTGCACCCATATAGGGAACTTACCCATAAACAGAGCTTGTAGGACGGGAAGCTGCTCTGGGTGAGTGGTAAGTTCACACAAAGGGCTACAACATCACTGCACGTGGCTGTAGACTCTGTAAACACTGTACTTGTAAGCTAAGACATCACCTCACACGGCTGTAGATTCGTAAACACCATACTCGTGAGGTCAGACATCGCATGTGTCTGTAGGTTCGTAAACACCGTACTTGTGAGCTAAGACAACACTGCACGCGACTGTAGATTTGTAAACACCGTACTTGTAAGCTAAGACATCACCGCACGCGGCTGTAGACTTCATAAACACTGTACTCGTGAGCCAAGACATCACCACACGTGGCGGTAGATTCTTAAACACTGTACTCGTAAGCTAAGACATCATCCACGTGCGGCTGTAGACTTTGTAAAAACTACTCGCGAGCTAAGACATCACTGCATGAGGCTGTAGATTGATCAACACTGCACTTGTGAGCTAAGTCATCACCGCACGTGGCTGTAGATTCATAAACACTGTACTCGTAAGCTACACTAAATCTATAAGAAAATTCCCTTGTTAAATAAATTAACCTACATTTACTGTAACTTTCTATGTTGTAAATTCCTTAAAGCTTTTTGACTCACTTATAAAAACAGATTAAAACATATTGTACAGCTGTACAAAAATAATTTATCTTTATATCAAGTTTTCTATTAAAAGTTTTTTACTTTTTTTTTTTCTTTTTTTGAGACAGAGTTTTGCTCTTGTTGACCAGACTGGAGTGCAGTGGCGCGATCTTGGCTCACCACAACCTCTGCTTCCCAGGTTCAAGCGATTCTCCTGCCTCAGCCTCCCTAGTAGCTGGGATTACAGGCATGCGCCACCACGCCCGGCTGATTTTGTATTTTTAGTAGAGACGGGGTTCCTCCATGTTGGTCAGGCTGGTCTCGAACTCCCGACCTCAGGTGATCTGCCCGCCTCAGCCTCCCAAAGTGCTGGGATTATAGGCATGAGCCGCCGCGCCTGGCCGAAAGTTTTTTACTTTTTAAACTTTTTTTTTTGTTATAAACTAATACACAGACACACATTAATCTGGGCCTCCACGGGGTCAGGATCACTGAAATCACTGGCTTCCACCTCCACATCTTGTCCAACTGGAGGGTCTTTAGGGCAATGACATGCACAGAGCCGTCATCTTCTGTGGGAACCATGCTTTCTGCTGGATTCCTCCTGAAGGACCTGCTGAGGCTGTCTTACAGTTAACTTTTTTATTGTTAAGTATAGAGAATATGCTCTAAGATAACGACATTAAAGGTAAGTACATAAACCGGCTTCACAGGTGTCTATTATCACAGTCCAGTATTATGCACGTACTGTGTATGATCCTACATGCTATACGTTTATACAACTGGCAGCAGAGGTTTATACTAGCATTGCCACAAACACATAACGCATTGCATTATGATGGCCACAACATCAATAAACTCCATTTCACAGGAATTTTTCAGCTTCATTACAGTCTTACGGAACCACTCTCATTTAGGGGACACTGTCTTGGGGACCACTGTGGTCTGTCATTGACAGAAACAGCACTATGCAGCACATGACTAATTCAGCAAAGGGACACGAGCTCCACAGACAGCCCAGCTCTCAGTCTGCTAAGACCACAGGCCATGATGAAGGGACTAAAGACCAGCTGGAGAACTCTGGCCCCCTCCCAGCAAATCCTTCTCATGTACACATGTATGTATGCACACGAATGCACACACACACACACACACTTCCACATATATGCATGTGTGTATACTTGTAACAACTCCACATACAAAATACAAGGCAATACTAAGACTCAGTGTGCATGTGCACATGCAACACACACACAATACTCACATAGCCCACACACTAGCACAAACTCATCTGCATGCACACACGTACACATGTAACATACTTACACACACATAAAACAGTACACTACACTCACACATGCAAACTCACACTTGCACACACATGCACATGGGAGTGCACTTGCATTCTTGCAAACCCTCATATACTTGTACCACATACAGGCACCCACCCATGCAACACACACATGCACACTCATACTTGCATGTACTCGTGTGCACAAATATCTGCTACATATTTGTATGCACACACACGACACGTGCAAAGCCATAAATGTGTACACATTTGAAAGTCACACAACTGCAACATACTTGCAACACACTCATGACACATATATGCACGTGTCTATACTTGCAGCACACACTACACTCATGCACATGCATGTGCAGTTGAAACACATGCAGTATTGCACACACGTACACTTGTAACACACAACAGCATATATACACAACACACTTGCACAAACTCATACTCTCATGCATATATGCACTTATACTTGTACCCACATCACACTCACCCATGCAACACATGACACAGGCAAGCTCGCACATGTACAAACTCATATTCACATGTGCAGACACTATTCACACACTTGCAAAACACACATGCATGTATGCACAGCACACTCACACATGCACTGAGACACACACACAAGGACCTGATCGGGTGAAAGGCTCCTGTTAAGCTGTTTGTCTTTGTCTCTATCTTCACTCCCTCCATTCTGCTGCTAAGTCTCAAGTTTACTGATGTACTTCTATTCTGTGGCCCCTGCTCTCAGGATCTTGATACTTGGGCTAACCAATGAGTAGGAATTAATTTAGTATCTATGCTTTTCTGGTAATACCCTTTAGTTATGACTTCAGGTTACAAGCCCGGAGGAAGCTAAGAAAGTTTTCATTCTAGGACTTTACACCAATGTAATGTTCTTAAGATGTAAAAAATTGCTAAAACTGTTCCTTTTTCTTTTGAGACAAGGTCTTGCTCCATTGCCCAGGCTGGAGTGCAGCGGTGTGATCATGGCTTACTGTAGCCTCTAACTCTCAGGATCAAGCAGTCCTCCCACCTCAGCTTTTTAAGTAGCTAGGACTATAGGCACATGCCACCACACCTAGTTCATTTTTAAAAAATGTTGTAGAGATGGAGTCTCGCTATGTTGCCCAGGCTGCCCTCAAACCTCTTGGGCTCCAGTGATTCTCCTGCCTTGGCCTCCCAAAGCACTGGGATTACCGGTGTGAGCCCATTCCCAGCCTTAAAACCGCATCTTCAAATGCAGACAAATATATATATATATATATATATTATATTTTTTTCCTATCTAAAGTCTGAAAAACTCAAGTATTCATGGAAAGACCAAATTGGAAGTCATTGAGAGACTTATGATTTCATTTTAAATGAATTACACTGTAACAAATATTTTAAAATTGAACAGTCACTTGCAAATAGTCTCAACACAATTTCATCATTTCCTTCCTGCACATGTGGGACTGTAATCTGTTCCAGAAGCAGGGAGAGTGTGTCCCCTCACTCTATGATGCAGAAATGCTCTCCATGGTGACCTGTCACAGATGCAGGCAGGTCCCACCCACCATGGCTCCAAGAATAAAAAGGGCATCAGAAACAGGGGCAGAAAACCAAGCAGAAATGGCTAATACCCCTGTTCGACAACTGACTTTCACAATGGTGGTCTTCCTCTGTAGGCCGTCTTTCTTGTGCGTGTGCACATTCATATTCTCTCTCAAGGAAATTGCATGTGCATACCAATAAGCTAACCTTCTCCAGAGTAATTAGACGATAATTGGGCAGGTGCCTTGGAGCTCGCAAGTGAGTGTGCCATTAAAGCAACAGGAACAGTAATTAATCCTGTGACAGAGCCTAATGCAGATCAAGTGAGAAAACCACCATCCCATTTTTATAGGAAGAGTAACAAGAAAGAAATAAGATCAGTGCTTTTAGTGGCTCTCATTTCACTGCCTCCCGACTGCTGGCCTTGGACTGTCGACTTTCTCACCCTCTGTGGTCAGCAGCCCTGGGCCGGTGGATCAGAAGAGGTGAGTCCTCTGTCACCATCCAGCTGCCGGAGCTCATAGTGACAGCATCTGCCCCAGTCTGGCTCTTCACAGCATTCCTTTACTTTGTCCTCACAGGTGCCTGGGAAGACTGGCTTTACTGCACCTGTTCTGAGCACCCCCAGAGCTCCTGCTGAAATGTGATTCCCAGGGTTGGAGGTGGGGCCTAATGGAGAAGTCGGAGTCATGCAGGCAGATCCGTCATGATAGATGCAGGCCTTCCCTGGGGGTGAGCAGGTTCTTGCTCTACCAGCTCCCGGGAGAGCCGGTGGCTAAAAACAGTCTGTCCCCTCCTCCCACCACGTGATCTCTGCACTTGTGGCCCCTCTTTCCCTCCACCATGAGTGAAGCTCCCTGAAGCCTGACCAGAGGCAGATGCAGGCACCACACTTCCTGTACAGCCTGCAGAACTGTGTGCCAAATACACTTCTTTTCTTTATAAATCACCAGCCTCAGGTGTTCCTTTACAGAAATGGAAACAGACTAAGGCAAGAGGGAAACTGAGGTTACAGAGTGTAATACCTCGTCCCAGAGGAGCTGACTTCTGACCTGTGTGACCCAGAGCCCCCTGCCAGTGGCTGCAGCACCAGGCATATTACATGCTGGTAAAGGTTGAAAGTGATGCTGGAGATTAAAGCTGGATGACATTTTTACCTAGGAATATTTAAGGGAGGTTTAAGGAAGGAGAGGGCTTTGGGGCTGGCTTGGAGGACTGGAGAAAAGGCCCCTGGGGCCACACTCCTTGGAGGTGGGCTGGGGGCTGCGGACTGTGAGTGGGTGGTGAGGGCATCGGAGAGCAAGACTGGGACGCCGCTGAGATTCTCTGCAGTGGGGGGGTAAGGGAGAAGGGGCCCAGCCAGACGGAGGGGACCACAGACAGACCTGGTTAGAAAGGTCAAAGAGAGAACATCGCGGAGAAAAAAACAGAAAGGAATGAGAAGAGTGAGAGCAGCCCCAGAAGCCGGGAGGGAAGGGCAGCGTGGTGTCCCACCCGAGGGCACGGGAGAAAGAGCGGCACACGGTCCATCTGGAGGGCAGCAGGGAGGGTTCAGGGGTGCCTGGGCGGGGCCCGGCACACAGTCCATCTGGAGGGCAGCAGGGAGGGTTCAGGGGTGCCTGGGCGGGGCCCGGCACACGGTCCCTCTGGAGGGCAGCAGGGAGGCTTTGGGGGTGCCTGGGCGGGGCCCGGCACACGGTCCATCTGGAGGGCAGCAGGGAGGCTTTGGGGGTGCCTGGGCGGGGCCCAGCACATGGTCCATCTGGAGGGCAGCAGGGAGGGTTCAGGGGTGCCTGGGCGGGGCCCAGCACACGGTCCATCTGGAGGGCAGCAGGGAGGCTTTGGGGGTGCCTGGGCGGGGCCCGGTGAAAGGAAGTCACTTTACAGCCAGACTTTGCTTTCCTTCTTTGTATGTAAAATGCCAGGTCTGAGTCTCATGAAGATGTCTGGCATCCGAGGAGCTCCCCTCGGCACTGCTCAAGGGTGAGAGCCTAGGCCAGCTAGCAGCGACGGTCAGCGGCGTGGGTGCCGACCAGAGGCATGCAGTGGTGTGTGGGAAAGTGAACTGCACCGCCAGCTCCTGTTCCTATGTACTCTCACTTCCATTTCAGATGCTTTCCAAAGCAGCTAGCAGCCTAGTCAGGGAAAAGGTTACGCTTTGAGGGCCAGGCCACAGACAGAACTGCATACATGTGTTATTGATGAGCTACTGCTCACTCCTTCAGGAAGTTATATAATTATGAGTTATTTTCCAAAGAATTCTTATGGGGAGTCAGGTGAATTTGTTTTAATGCCCAGAAGTGATTATTTAGAAAACTGTATGCCCAGAAACAAGTTACCTAATCTAAAACTACATTTCTGATTTTTCTAAGTGTTCCAGACTGAACTTTGTCCCTGGCAGCTGGTGGCCTTGGGGGCAGGCGTTGCCTCTGGCCCTCAGCCTGCAGGGCCTCCTGAGGGCTCCTACGTGGCCACCACTCTTCTGTGATTTTATAACTGTGCAGCCAGTGGTTCTGTCGACCAGAGGGCCTGATGGAAGAGCCACAGGGCCAGGCATGCATCTACGAGTGTGAACCGTCAGGGCGGGCGTGGCTCCTGGCCCTGGCGTGTGAGCTCTCAGCCACTGGCCGTCCCATGCAGGCTGTTGGGACACCCCTGGTCTCCCCCCACCAGATGCCAGCTGAGCCACTGCCCAACTTGTGCTGATCGAAAATGCCTCCAGGCATGTCAGACATCCCTGGGGGCACAGGCACACACAGCAACAGGTCACGGAGCGGCTGCTGACGGCGATAAGGGAAGGCACCATGTCCCACGCACTTCACCTAAGCAACAATGAACGGGCACCTCTACAGTCACCAAGTGGAAGATGATCTGTTTCAACGGGGGAAGTCTGCAGTAAAAATGACGCCTTCTTTCCTTCCTCTCTGGCATCTTAGTGGGTCCTCCTTGGCGGGCAGAGATTCCTCTAAAGGGCTTCTCATCCTGCTCAACCCCATGCCTGCTTTCTGGAGTCCTCACACTCTCACCAAGAACTCCACTTTTCTTCTCAGGGGGCGCTTAGGAGGCCACATAGAGAAGGTAACCTGACCCCTAACCCCTATTTCAAGCATCTTGACAAAACATTTCCATTCATGTAAAGAAATGTGGGCAGGATGCTGACATTCTACGACGGGGGCAAAATGGTGCATAAAATAGGAAGGAAAAGAACCGAGTGCCTGCCTTCCAGTGAGATGGTCAGATAAAGCAGCTCTGGCCATACTCCTGCTATCACACCTGCCACTGCTGTCCTGCAACAGAGTTTCTTTTTTTTTTTTTTTTGAGACGGGATCTCACTCTGTCACCCAGGCTGGAATGCAGAGGTGCAATCTCAGCTCACTGTAACCTCTGCCTCCCAGTTTCAAGCAATTCTCCTGACTCAGCCTCCCAAAGAGCTGGGATGACAAGTGCCCGCCACCAAACCTGGGTAATTTTTAGTGGAGACGGGGCTTTACCATGTTGCCCAGGCTGGTCTCGAACTCCTGACCTCAGGTGATCCGCCTACCTCAGCCTCCCAAATACCTGGGATTACAGGCGTGAGCCACCATGCCTGGCCAGAGTTTTCAATTGCAAAGTTCAAGCCAATGCCTAACTCCACCACTTCACTCATGAGACAGTTACACTCTGGGCAGATAAACATCGTGTGCACCTCTTCTTCTAGATGGAGACCTGCATGCAAGGCCGCAGAACAAAACAAAAAAAGGAAAAAAAGAAAAAACCCAGAAGTGTACAGTACCTGTCGTGTCTCAGGGCTCTCATGTCCACGTAGACAGTGGTTGGGTCAGGTCCTGAGGTTCCCTGCAAGCAACAACAGAGTGGTTAACTCAAGTTTACATGGAGGGAGATTGGGGTCTGTGCTTCTACTAGTTAGGAAACATTTCTTTTGTAAAATCTTAAAGTGAAAAATAAAACTAAAAACACTTAGACCAGCAACCTCTCAAGGCACCTGCTAACTTTCAGTGTGATAACCTAAATTCCAGAAGGAATATCTTATTAGGATAATACTGGATTCACACAGCTTGACCGCCAATATATAAAAATAGGAAAGAAAGGAGACAAAGCCACGCACTGTGCCAAAAAAAGGAAGGCTGAAAACTGCCAAGACGGCGCTGCAAAAGCAGGTTGGAAGGATATGAAGCATCTGTGCGGAGAAATTTTTACCACATGCATCCACCTTTAACAAAAGGTGTATTTTGAGGGCCCAGGACAGTGAAGCAGATGTGTGATATGGATGGACAGGCCAGGGAGGAAGAGGTGAGGGGAGCATCTTGCTCCTCCGGGCTCTGCTGGGGCTCTGGCTCTCTGGCCTGAGGAGGGCATTTCCGGCCAAGACACAGGTCAGGGAAGGGGCATTTTATCCTGGAGAGCTGGGCAGGACTTTGTGGTCTGAGCCATTCCACTGGGCTGTTGATTTTACACAGGGGTCCAGAAATCTTTTCTTGGCACCATAAATTGCTTGAAAAATTACACCATGCTGACTTCTGACCAGTGACCTCTGTACACAGAAGAGCAGCATCACGAAGGCTGCATTACAAACCAAAATTGTACACTCATTTTTGGGGAAGGCAGTACAATACCTTGGTTGGAAAAAGACTAAACCTACAATAAATTTGCCAAAAAATAAGGGAGCCCTTCAGAATTCATTTGAAGAATTACACTAAAATTCTTCAGGAGAGAATTCCAATTTTTGTACTAAAGGCACAAAATTTTCTTATATTGCTTATATATAAGAAAAAAAAAAGACAATGTCATGAAAACATACCATAGTACTCAATAACCCTGGGCCCTGGTATCTCACCACTGAGACAGGGAAAAAGAACAGCACATGCGAGTCAGCCTCCCGGCGGACGCTCCCAGTGACAGCTCTACCCCCGGCTGCTCAGCAAAGCCGCCCCACAGACCAGCGCTGAGCAGAGAACCGGCCCACAGTGAGTAATGCAAAATACAGCCATGGAGGGTCAATTAAAAATAAGTAAATGGAAAACAGGTGAAGAATTAAGTACAACAGAGATGAACCAAACTGGCAAATGAACCACTGACCGCGCACCCCGGGAAGACAGCGTCGGCTACGCGTGAGGCCTGAACGTGACATTGCCCGGCCGGCAGCACCCATGATCACAGGGCCTGCAGACCCCCGGCCAATCTCTGCACTCAACTGCTAGTCTGTCCCACGGCTGGATGCGGGCAAGGCAGCGGGGCTGGGCAGGGAGGCACGGGTGTGATGGACAGGAAAGTCCCCTACCTGCTCGGCCAGGGTCCACAGCCTGTGAGGCTACAGCAGCAGAAGGGTGAGGACGAGAAGAGAGGAGAGAACACCAGACAACAGAAACCAACACACACAACACACACAGACACATACGACCCGACAGTGAAAAATGGGATGGAGAAGAGGGAGGGGTGGGGAGGAGAATGCGAAAAGCAGGAAACAAAATGAAAAGAAGATCAAAAACAACATCAAATATGGAAATCATTAAAATTAACCACTGTACAAGGCTAAAAGAAATGTTTTAAAGATGTCAACATATCCACGGAGCAACAGAAGAGGGTGTAGCAGGTGACTAACCACGGCGCAGGGACACAGAAGGTAAATGGTGGCACTGCACCGTGTCACTCACGGTGCTCTTTCTTTCTGAGGGACGCGGGAGTGCAAGTTTCATTTGCTAAATCTGTTGAGGTAGTTCCAAGGTTCTGATTCCAGGAACAAAGGAGAGCCTGTGAGCTTTTACACCTGCAAGTAGGGCACTAGCTCTATCCACCTACACAATGAGGCAAAGGGAGAGGCCAACATGCATCTGAAGCCTGAAAGAATCCAGCGCTGGGCTCTCACACGGTCTGCTCGGCAGCCTCAGGAGGAGTTTCCACCCCAGCAAATGTGCTCTGTTGCTGTTCCCCAAACAGAGACACCAACTTCTGTTTTCTTCTCCTCCTCGTCATCCATGGCTGTGGTCCCTGCCTGCTACCCGCATTAAATAATCTACCCCAGCTGCTGGACAATTCCAGAAATCAACTTGGGCAAGCTCCTTGGATGCAAGGTATTTTTCCCTATGTCACTTAGCTGTCTTTCCCAAATATTCCCAAAAAGTACAAAGAGTAGAAGATTTTTCACAGGCGCCTGGACTGATGCACACCTGTGCTTTGTGTGTACGGCCCGGCACCCACCCACAACCCCATGACGGCAACAGGCAGACACTAGAGACAGCAGCTGCAGCAGTGGAAACGGAGTTAAGTGGTTTTCTTCAGGCTCAAATTTGGTCACAAAGCCCAATGGAAAAACTGCCACCACTCACAACAGAGCCAAGTCTATGAAAATAAGCAATGGTTCAAGATTTTAAAAGAAAATCACGATTCCACTCTTCTCTGTTACTTCTCTAGGGTAATTATGGCTACTCTTCTCTCTCAGCACCCTTATGTTTGAAAAAGAGAGGCAGAGCATGAATAAATAAAGTAACTCGCCAATAAAGGTGTGTATGCTCCAAACACATAGTGGACCTTTACTGAATATATTTGAGCTGAATGCAATGATTTAAATAATTTCTTTCCTTCATGATTCCTTGAAACCTAAATATTAACTGGAACAAAAATAAAAATAAGTCAACATTCTCTCTAAATTATCCTAGTTCAGAAATTGTTATAATGGGTCAAGGTGGTATCTCAGGAAAAAATGTACACGGCTAAGTACCTCATTTCCTATCTTGTACCACGTGGAGGAGGCAACACAGCACCTGAAGCCAAGTAG